>NC_000009.12:36222121-36373636 GCF_000001405.40 Homo sapiens
TATCAAAAACATTTCGGCCGGGCGCGGTGGCTCACGCCTGTAATCCCAGCACTTTGGGAGGCCGAGGCGGGCGGATCACGAGGTCAGGAGATCGAGACCATCCCGGCTAAAACGGTGAAACCCCGTCTCTACTAAAAAATACAAAAAATTAGCCGGGCGTAGTGGCGGGCGCCTGTAGTCCCAGCTACTTGGGAGGCTGAGGCAGGAGAATGGCGTGAACCCAGGAGGCGGAGCTTGCAGTGAGCCGAGATCCCGCCACTGCACTCCAGCCTGGGCGACAGAGCGAGACTCCGTCTCAAAAAAAAAAAAAAAAACATTTCAAGGTAAAATGTATTAGTCTGTGCTGTCTAGGGCAAAGGATAACAGCTGGGGCATCCAACACACTAACCAAAAAGACTGGGAGGAAAAGCTGGGAAATGAGAAGCTCTGGGAAATAAGAGCTTTGAATAGCTCTGACAAGTTCCTGGAATTTAGAAGGCCACAGGCATGTCTAAGGCTGGGCACATGCTCAGAAAAGGCCACATGTGGCTCACCTTCAGGCTCTAGTCATGCAGGAAGTGAAGGCTAAGGCAGAGTTGTAACCACCTGACCATGTTGAAGACATGCTCCAATATACATTCTAGCTCCTGAACCAACCTCCCCCTACCCCTCTTACCTGTGCCTGTGATAAGTGTAACAAAGTTTTCCAGTCCCTTTCCTTGGCCAAATTTCCTTTCCGCCAGGGCAGCACAGTTGCCATCATTGTCTACCCACACAGGGAGATGCAAAGTGTCAGAAAGGGGGGTCCTAAGGTCCACAGAGTTCCACTCTTGGATCAGTTTGGTTGAATGCAGCACAATTCCTTCCCGAGGATTTACACGGCCACCTGTGGAAATGCCTGCGCTCCACCACAAACACAAGGAAATAATGCTGATGAGCAATCTCAGGAAAGTATGCTGACTTTCTTGTCTTAAGAACACAGATTCATTCACCCCAGATCTCCTAAGACAAACGTTACCAAGGACTGCAAGGAAATATTAGACAGTTGTGAATTAAAGCCATAGCACCTTAAAGATTTCTAGAACTGTCAGTGCTTCTCTCCTAATGCTTGTTGGTGTCCCAGGAAGTCCCCATGCTTGGGGCCCACAGACAGCACCTAGAGCCATCTATGCACAGGGCAGACACTGACTTGATGCTCAGGCATGCATCACAAGTTAGTAAATTTTGTACATTAAAATGAGCATTTCTTGGATTTATAATTTACAATCTTACCTACTCCCAAAATTCTGCAGTTCAGTTTTACAGCTTCTGCTGCAGCTTCCACACACATCTGTAGGATTAAATTAATCCTCTCTTCATAGGTTTTAGGATTGAACTGAGTATACTTCTTAACTATTTCACCCTAAAAGAGAAAACAACAAGTTCCGTCTTACTGGTCTTAGCTAAGCAGCATATTGTGAGTGTTGTGATCTTTTTCATGACAAATTAGACACTGCTATAGGATGGCCCCGCAGTCTTAGATGACTGCTTGGGGAAGGACCCACTGCCTGGTCTGGGCCAGCCCTGGGGTAAGCTCAAGTAGTTCCTGTAATCTGTCCTAATATGGGGCTGTTGAAGCAATGACAACTCCACAGGCAGCAAGATGGGCCCCTCTCTTTTTTTTTTTTTTGAGATGGCCTCTCGCTCTGTTGCCCAGGCTGGAGCGCTATGGCGCGATCTCAGCTCACTGCAACCTCCACCTCCCAGGTTCAGGCGATTCTCCTTCCTCAGCTTCCCAGGTAGCTGGGATTACAGGTGCCTGCCACCACGCCCGGCTAATTTTTGTATTTTTAGTAGAGATGGGGTTTCACCATGCTGCCCAGGCTGGTCTCAAACTCCTGACCTCAAGCAATCCGCCTGCCTCGGCCTCCCAAAGTGCTGGGATTACAGGCGTGAGCCACTGCCCCCGGCCGGGCCCCTTTCTTAAGCTTAAGTTCAATGTTCGCTAATTTGAGCCTAGTTCATTAAAAGACCATAGTTTACTCTTTCAGGTTGACAAAACTTTCTTGCTTACTGAGGTGACCGGGCATAGTGGCTCACGCCTGTAATCCCGGCACTTTGGGAGGCCAAGGCGGGAGAATCGCTTGGGCCCAGGAGTTTAAAACCAGCCTGGGAGGTACAGTGAGACCTCCTCTCTACAAAAAATTAGCCAGGCATGTTGGCACATGCCTGTAGTCCCAACTACTTGGGAGGCTAAGCTGGGAGGATTTCTTGAGCCTGGGAAGTTCAGGCTGCGGTGAGCTGAGATCACGCCACTGCACTCCAGCCTGGGCAACAGAGTGAGACCCTTTCTCAAAAACAAAAACAAAAAAACACTGAGGCAACTAAGTAGCTGAGCTTTAATCATCTCCTGTAACTGAATTCAGTGATGGTCTGGATACTCTATTTCCTTAGGGTAAATTTCCATCCTGGCTGGCAGAAATACCACATTGTTTAAATTATTATATGGCCGGCCGTGGTGGCTCACGCCTGTAATCCCAGCACTTTGAGAGGCCGAGGCAGGTAGATCACTTTGACCTCAGGAGTTCAAGACCAGCCTGCGCAATAAGAGGAAATCCCATCTCTATAAAAAATACAAAAATTAGCTGGGCGTGGTGGCACACGCCTGTAGTCTCAGCTACTTGAGAGGCTGAGGCTGGAGAATCGCTTGAACCCAGGAAGCAGAGGTTGCAGTAAGCCGAGATCATACCACTGCACTCCAGTCTGGGCGACAGAGTGAAACCCTGTCTCAAAAAAATAAAACACATTACTGTGCTTTTTGATATGTTTTAATACCAAACAGGGATAGTCCCTCCTGATTACTTGTCTTTATCTTTTTTCTTTGCACAACTGACTTTTGTACTTTTAATGTTAAACTTTGAGAAATTCCACTGTGATTTACAATAATTTTACTAAATGTAAAACAAATACCATTGAAATATTTACTAGATTATGTTGATCTTATAAATCAAATTGGGAAAACACTGACATCTTAAAAATAATCAGCACTTCCATCCAGGGCATTTTTTTCAAGACTTTATGTCTTACAGTAAAGTTTTAGAATTTTCTTTATATAGATTACATCGTTCCTGGTTTCAGTTATTCTTAGGAGTTTTTGTTGTTGTTCTGAATAAGATCTCTCTTTCCATTTATATTATTTTGTTATTAGTGGATTTTTATATCTCAAATATAGGGTTAGAGCTGTCACTAGGATTGTCATTAAAAATAAATCTAGGTCAGGCACGGTCGCTCACACCTGTAATCCCAGCACTTTGGGAGGTCGAGGCTGGCAGATCCCTTGAGCCCAGGAGTTCAAGACCAGCCTGGGCAACATGGTGAACCACTGTCTCTACAAAAAATACAAAAATTAGCCAGGCATGCTGGCATAAGCCTGTAGTCCCATCTACTCAGGAGGCTGAAGCACAAAAATCACTTGAGCCCGGGAGGCAGAGGTTGCAGTGAGCCGAGATCACGCCACTGCACTCCAGCCTGGGCGACAGAGCAAGACTCAGTCTCAAAAAACAAAAATACATCTAGAGCTGGGCACAGTGGCATGTGCCTGTGGTCCTAGCTATTATACTTGGGAGGCTGAGGCAGAGGACCATTTAAGCCCAGGACCTTGAGTCCAGTCTGGGAAACATAGGAAGACCTTGTCTCTAAAAAAAAATTTTTTTAAATTAAGAGAATAAAAAATCTAGAGTAGTGCTTCTCAATCTTCGCTGTGCATCAGAATCACCTGGACAGCTTTTAACGAAGAGCGATGCCTGGCCCCCATCCCCAGAGACTCTAATTTAACCAGTCCAGGGTGGGAGCCAAGCATTTTTTTGTCTATTAATAATGTTTTTTGTTTTACCCTATCAATAATCTCCATTTTTGCTATTCCTTCCTTTATTCCCTCATAACTTCCAAAATTATGTGAGATAATGCTGCACAAAACATCTTTCTTTTCTTCTTGATTTCAATGGGAATGCCTCTAGAATTTCACCATTGAAAAAGATGTTGGCCTTTCATATGGAATAAATCATCTTTCTGTTAAGAAACTATTCTTCTATTAGTTTTTGTTTTGTTTTTTGAGATGGAGTCTCACTCTGTTGCCCAGGCTGGAGTGCAGTGGTGCGATCTTGGCTCACTGTAATCTCCACCTCCTGGGTTCAAGCGATTCTCCTGCCTCAGCCTCCCAAGTAGCTGGGATTACAGGTGCCTGCCACCATGCCCAGCTAATTTTTTTTTTTTTTTTGTATTTTTAGTAGAAACAGGGTTTCACCATGTTGTCCAAGCTGGTCTGAAACTCCTGACCTTAAGTGATCTGCCCACCTGGACTTCCCAAAGTGCTGGGATTACAGGCGTAAGCCACTGCATCCAGCCTTCTATTAGTTTTTAAAAGAGTATTTATAAGGGAGGCCTCTTGGCTTTTCTTGAGAAAATTATGTTTTGTTTTGCTTTCCTTATTTGACCTAATGGTATTAATAAATTTCCTACAACTTTACATTTAAAATCTTTGCTATTTCTCATCGTCTCTGGAAGCTTTATACACTCACACTATTTCAAACCAAGATTTTTCTAGTAGGTTTATTCTAAGTCATTAGAGATCACTTTAACATGAACAGTTTGTTATTTTTATGAATGTTCTCTCACCTGTCAACACTGGGTGATGGTTTGGTTAACAGATTGAAGGTATGCTGTACTCAATAAAGAGCAGAACTGTAAAAATGCAAAATGGAAAATCCACACAACTGATCACATTCTAGAGAAGAGGCAGCTCCCTTCACCATTTGCTGATACCCCTCACCTGGGCAGTGATAGTAATCAGCATACTCCACACTCCAAGCTGTTACCAAGTATAGAATTTCAGGTCTTTTGGGTGGCAAAAGCCCGATCTGATGCCTAAAGGGGTCTTCCCACTGTCAAGTCTACCGTCTTGGATTCCCAAAGAATTTACTTCTTTGAAATGTTAATGATCAGTAAAATAGTGAGACAAACATTGTAAAGGATCCACAAGTCAATACTATCAGCAAATGATTACAAGCTCTTGTGTATGTTTCTAGTCTTACCTTCCAACTATATATACTTAAAAAAAAAATCAATCGCTCATATGGGATATAAAGTTAGGAGTTTAGGAGTTATTTTACCTTCATGCTGACTATTGCAACTCGGAGGTTCGTCCCGCCAAGATCAACGGCCAAGGCACTTAGAGTTTCAAGAATATGGTCAATATCTTGAGAGATATTCTCCTTCACAGGAGGAAAGCAGAATTTCTTTTGCAGTGGCTCTTGAAGATCGATAGATTTGAGAAACTTCAAAATCCTTGGAACAGCATTTCCATCCCCATATATCTTTGAACTGCAATATACAAAAAGTCAATTAAATTATATGCTTCTGCCATACATGTTAAGTGGTAGTGAGGGTATAATGTAATGGAAACTGAGACTTCAGGTAAAAATAATTCATGCTTCTTCCTAAAGTGACATCTTCCTGCCGTGCACAGTGGCTCACACCTGTAATCCCAGCACTTTGGGGGGCTGAGGCAGGAAGATTGCTTGAGCCCAAGAGTTTGAGACCAGCCTGGGCAACACAGACATAGCAACTCTATCTCTACAAAAAGTAATTTTAAAAATCATGTTTAAAGAAATAAATAGGCTGGGTGCAGTGGCTCATACCTGTAATCCTAGCACTTTGGGAGGTCGAGGCTGGCGGATCACCTGAAGTCAGGAGTTCAAGATCAGCCTGGCCAACACGGTGAAACCCCATCTCTACTAAAAACACAAAAATTAGCCAGGCGTTGTGGGTGCCTGTAATCCCAGCTACTCAGGAGGTTGAGGCAGGAGAACTGCTTGAACCCGGGAAGCGGAGGTTGCAGTGAGTCGAGATCGCACCACTGCACTCCAGCCTGGATGACAGAGCAAGACTCCGTCTCAAAAAAAAAAAAAAAAAAACAACCAACAATAACAAAAAAGAAATAAAATAACATCTCCACAAGATATACATACTTCAGAACATCATGTTGTACACAATAAATACATACAATTTTATCTGTCAATTAAAAGTTAAAAACTATAAATCATAATTATACAGAACTAAAAAAATTTTATATAAAATAATATCTAGATCTCTTCAGCAACATTGTAACTAAGTGCCTGTATTTTTTTGCTTTTTTTAGTTTTTATCTTTATATTTCTGAGAAAACAAAATTATTTTCAGAAAGAAATATTCAAATACAGGGAAATCTCATCGATTTGAAACAGAAAGGAGGGTGGTCAAAATTAATTAAAAAGCTGAACTAGACTTTTTAAAAAAAATCAGTTACATTATTTTCTAATATTTATAGAAAGCCAAAGAAGGTTAAATAAGTGTAGCAAAAGTGTTGTATTAATTAAGAGAAACAAATAAAATAAGGCTGGGCGCAGTGACTCACACCTGTAATCCCAGCGCTTTGGGAGGCTGAGGCAGGCGGATCACCTGAGGTCAGGAGTTTTGAGACCAGCTTGCCCAACATGGTGAAACCCCATCTCTACTAAAAATACAAAAATTAGCCAGGCGTGGTGGTGCGCACCTGTAATCCCAGCTACTTGGGAGGCTGAGACAGGAGAATTGCTTGAACCCAGGAGGCGGAGGTTGCAGTGAGCTGAGATGGCGCCACTGCACTCTATCCTGGGCAACAGATCAAGAGTCCATCTCAAAAAAAAAAAAAAAAAAAAGAAATAAAATATGTATTCTACATTGGAACCTTTGGAACAGTAATAATGGGTATGATATTAGCAATCCCTGTCTCCCCAGCAACTAGGGGCCCGTAGGCATAAGAAGGAAAGCTCTGTTAGGATGATTAAACAGTGATTGTAGCTTTAAAATGGTACTGAAGGTAGCTCCCCTTTTAAATCACTCAACAAAGAATGTTTTATACTCACCAAGGGTACTGTTTACCAAACTGAAGGTGCAGTGCTTGCAATATTTTGTCTTGGGTGTCAGCATCCCGGACATGAAGAACATTCTCCCCTAGGTAAAACCAGTGACACATTACAAGGATTTGGAAGTGGGAATATCCAAAGAATAAAGAAATTATCAGTGTACTATGCTCATAATTAGACCTGAAATCCAGCTGACTTCAGGTTAAGTCTTTTGTTAGGGAAAATTCAACTTTTCTACTTTATACCTTTTAAAGTACTCTTGGCAAGATTTCAGTACATCAAACACTTAAGGGCCCTAGGGTCCTTTATTCCCAAGGAGAACAAATCAAGTTTTTGTTTATTAAAATAAATAAGGTAGACCAACCTGGCATCCACTTACCATTTGCCTAGTCATCTATGAGATTCACTCTCTTTCAACCTGCCCTGCCTTCCATCTACTCAGCCAGTGGTTCACTTGGCTGGTCAGGCAGTCACTTTCCCTCCAGACATTTCCTGACCAATATGAGGGAGTAAATCTAGCGAAAATGGCCACACTGTTCAATGGGTTTGGCTAAGAAGAGAAGAGTGGACGAGTAACATCTGGAGAGAGGTGTGGGGTCAAGAAAGGAGTTGTTTTGTGTTGTTTGTTTTTAAGATGTGAGAGGCTTAGGCATGTTTAAATGATGAGGAGGTTAAATAAAGAAGGATGAGAAAAGATCACTCATGGATAGGTCCCTGAGAAGGCAGGAGTGGTTGGGATTGAAAACACAGGTAGAAGGATGGGCAGTAGACAGGCAGGAGAGACACCCACACCCACACCCATGCCCACACCCTGCTATAAAAAAGGTAAGAAGGAAAGGATGGATGGGCATGCACATTTATATACGTTTATTTAAGTGTAGTGGCAAAAAGTACAGAGACCATGTTGGCATATGGTTCAATTCTCCTTTCACTTTTTTTTTTTTGAGACAAAGTCTTGCTCTGTTGCCCAGGCTGAAGTGCAGTGGCACAATCTCAGCTCACTGCAACCTCTACCTCCCAGGTTCAAACGATTCTCCTGCCTCAGCCTCCTGAGTAGCTGGGATTGCAGGCGTGTACCACCACGCTTGGCTAATTTTTGTATTTTTAGAGATGGCGTTTCACCATGTTAGCCAGGCTGGCTTGAACTCCTGACCTCAAGTGATCCACCTGCCTTGGCCTCCCAAAGTGCTAGGATTACAGGCGTGAGCCACTGTGCATGGCTGTCCTTTCACATCTTAAATGAACTCAGCAGTATCCACCACCCCATCCTTAAAACATTTTATTTTGGGGGCTTTATAGATAGCACACTCTCCTTGTTTCCCTCCAACCTCACTGGTGTTCCTCTTCAGTCTTCCTTGCTGGCCCTTCCCTCTTCACCAGAACTCTAAAGATTGAAGGGCTCCAGAGGTTGGTCCTGGGCTCCATTCTCTGCCCTATTTACAAGTCTTTTTTTTTTTGAGACGGAGTCTTGCTCTGTCACCCTGGCTGGAGTGTAGTGGCACGATCATAGCTCACTGTAACAAACTCCTGGGCTCAAGTGATCCTCCCGCCTCAGCCTCCTGAGTAACTAGGACCACAGGCGCATGCTACCAGGTCCACCTAATTTTAAAATTTTTTTGTAGAGAGAAAATATCACTATCTTTTTTTTTTTTTTTTTGAGACGGAGTCTCGCTCTGTTGCCCAGGCTGGAGTGCAGTGGCGCGATCTTGGCTCACTGCAAGTTCCGCCTCCTGGGTTCACGCTAAAATTTTTTTGCAGAGATAAAATATCACTATCTTGACCCAAGCTAGGGTCGAACTCCCAGCCTCAAGCAATCATCCCACCTTGGCCTCCCAAAGCACTGGGATTATAGGTGTTGAGCCACCACACCTGGCCTGGGTTTTAAATACTATCTATGGCTGGTGCCATTATCTTCAATATCTTTTCTTCATACTAGAAACAGAATTTTTAGCCAGGCATCTGATCCCCAGCCAAAGATTATATTCTGGCTGGTGTTTACAACTAATTGATCACAACCAGTTCCTCCTCCCCCAGCACTGCTTCACTAAAAAAAAAAAAAAAAAAGAAAGAAAGAGAGAGAGAGAAAGAGAAAGAAAGAAAGACAATGAAAGAAGGAAGGAAGGAAGGAAAAGAAAGAAGGAAAGAAAACAAACAAAACACAGACTGGGCACAATGGCTCACATCCATAATTCCAGGACTTTGTGAGGCCAAGGTAGGAAGGATCACTTGAGACCAGGAGTTTAAGACAAGCCTGGACAACAAAGCAAGACCCTGTCTCTACAAAACATTTTGTAAAAACATTAGCCAGGCATGGCTGAGGAGGCTAAAGTGAGAGGATAACTTGAGCCCAGGAATTCAAGGTTACGATGAGCTATGAATACACCACTGCACTCCAGCCTGAGCAACAGAACAGTATCATTTCAGACAAAAACAAAACAAACAAACAAACAAAAAAGACTATATTCTTCAGCTTGCCTTGCAGCCAGATGTGGCCATGTGACTAAGTTCTGATGGATGTGAGAAGAAAGATTTGCAACTTTCAGGTCTTGCCTTTAAAGTGAAAGGCATCTTCTCTTTTCCTTCTTCCAAAGGCTAAAACAGAGACTTGCAAGCAATAGCTAGAGCAACCACTAAGAAAATAGATGGGGGCTAAGTCTGATGATTGTGGAGCTGCCATCCACTGAGAAAGAAAGAACATTTAACTTATTTCAGCCACTATTATTTAGGGTCTCTGTTATAGCAGCCAAACTGACAACCAATTATGCATCATCTCTATACCAATGACTCTCAAATTTCTATCTCCAACTCTAACTCTTCCTGGAACTATCTAGCTGTTTACTAGCCATGTCTGCTTTGATATCTAATAGGCATCTCAAACTTCACATAGCTATAAGAGAACTCTTAATTCAATCCCTCCCCAAATCTGTTCCTCCCTCAGTGTCCCCATATCGCTGCCCAATCAGAAATCTAGGCTGTAATGGAAAAGTGTGTATCATTAAAGGAAAAAGAACTGGACTAGAACCAAGGAGATTAGTTCTAGCTCTGCTCTTTCTCCAATTCTTCATAATTGCCACCTTTCTGTTATATTTACATCTTCTTCCCTTCTCATTCCCAGCATATCACTGCCCAATCAGAAATCTAGGCTTCCTTGTTGATTCCTTTCACCTCCGCATCCAAGCATCAGCAAGTACTATAACAAGACCCAAATCTAACTTTTTTCCATCTCTAATACTTCATCAAAGCCACTATCATCTCTCATCTGAGCAACTGAATCAGCCCCCTTACTGGTCTCCCTGCTTTTATTCTTGCCCCCCCGCCCCCCCTCCCGACATTCCATTCTGTATATTAGCAACCGGAGTGATCTTTCCAAAATGCAACTCTTGTCATGTCATTCCTTCCCATTACACTTAGAAAAAATTCCAAATGACTTACCCTGGCTTACATGCATCTGTTTCCTTCTCTAACATCACCTGTATCACTCTGCCTCTTGCTCACTACTCTACAGCCACAATAGCGCTTCCATTTCTCAAATACACCAAGTTCACCTCCCGGCCCTCACACTGGCTGTTGCCACTGCCTCTCCCTGATCCTCACATAGCTGACTCCTTGTCATTCAGATTTCAGCTTAGGTGTCATCTCCTTAAAGAGGCCTTCCTTTAACCAATCTAATGGAGTCCATCATATACCTTGTGTTACAGCAGGCACAGCATATAGAATTCCTGATATTTTTCTTATTTCTTTTGTGTATGTCTATCATCTATCTCCTCTCCCACTAGAATGTAAGTTACACGAGAGCCCAGCTCTTCTTGGTCTAGTTTATTGCCAAATCCCAGTGCCTAGTACATGGTAGGTGTTTACTAAATATTTTCTAAATAAATGAATTGAGGAATTTGAAAGAATTTCCATCTCATGGCTTCCATTTTCTCTATGAAGTGGGGAGTAAAGTAATATGCTGGGAATGAGAAGGGAAGAAGATCTAAATATAACAGAAAGGTGGCAATTATGAAGAACTGGAGAAAGAGCAGAGCTAGAACTCATCTCCTTGGTTCTAGTCCAGTTCTTTTTCCTTTAATGATACACACTTTTCCATTACAGCTTCCATTAAATTCCACTGCATGTAAACAGGATTAGAACTTGAACTAATGTTAATAACAGGACCTAGCTCAGTTAGCAAATTCATTAATAATAATCCTACTTATACTTAAGGGGCACTTTACTTAGAACTACCATACTCTAAAGTACTGACTGAAGGGATTCTACATTAGGCCCAGAAAATAAAAGACTAGCATTCATATATTCATGAAACATTCAACCACATTCTCTCTTAAACACAGCCATGAAAGACCATAATTAAAAACCACTTAGGCTGGGCGCGGTGGCTCACGCCTGTAATCCCAGCACTTTGGGAGGCCGAGGTGGGCGGATCACGAGGTCAGGAGATTGAGACCATCCTGGCTAACAAAGTGAAACCCCGTCTCTACTAAAAAATACAAAAAATTAGCCGGGCTTGGTGGCTGACGCCTGTAGTCCCAGCTACTTGGGAGCCTGAGGCAGGAGAATGGCGTGAACCTGGGAGGCGGAGCTTGCAGTGAGCCGAGATCACGCTACTGCACCCCAGCCTGGGCGACAGAGCGAGACTCCATCTCAAAAAAAAAAAAAGAAAGAACCACTTAGTGCTAATTGATATTACAAAGACAATAAAATGTAAGTAGAGATCTAAAATATTTGGTAATCACTGTGTGCTATTTATCGACTATAGATTTTAGGCTTCAACTGGTTATTAACCTCATTCACTCACTTGTTCACAAAATATATGCTCAGTACTGATATATGCATACCTTATAACAACTCACGTATGTATAAAGCCTAGTCAGTTGAAGTATGAGCAAAGGTAAATACCTGTTTCTCTTCCAATCTGACGTGTTCCCAGGTTGATCACAGGTGTTCCAAAAGCTCCAACTTCTCGAACCCCACAGCTGCTGTTCCCAATCATACAGCCAGCATGGGCAACCAACTGTATAAACTGGTCAAATGGGACGTGTTTAACTGCACGAAAGTTGGGATGATGCTCAATGCCCTTCTTCCGCATCACTCGAACCATCTCTTTGCTCCCTATGAAAATGAAAAGAACCAATTGGTAAATGGTTTGTGAGATAAAGAAACCATTTTCATTGGCAAGTATAGCCCACGTAAAGAAATCTCCCTAAAAAAACCTCACATCAGTTATTAGGGAAATAGTAATTTTAACTACTGGCTTTTTCATGAATGATGGATATCTAAAATGTCCTCTGCTTCACTCATCTAGGAACTCAAAAAGCAGCAGTTGGGACTTTTCAAACAGAACTAGGCAAAGCAAATAACTTTTATCAATGCCCTAGTAAAAGCCTTTACCTTAAACAACAATTAAGAGGCTAAAGACAGGCCAACAGCCTGTATCTCTTAACCTGAGAGTTCCCAAATGGAACCCTCTCAGGCTCCACACACCAAGCTGATGAGAGAGCCTCTGCCCAGCTACACTCACCTTTACACTAACAAGAACTCGGTGGGATAGCACTCCCATTTATATGAACTAAACTCCAAGAAAATACACATAGATTCTGATAACTGTGGCTTCTATTTTAACTGCATGACTTAATAAAAATTTAAAGATACATGAAGGGGAGGCAATATTTAATGTCCCTCTGCTTGCCTCTCAACTGACCCCCTCCTAACTACCCCATACCTAGGGAGGAAAATTGCTAACCTGACTGGTTAGAAGGCAGAGGTCTGACCACACCATGCTTACCACTGGGCAGGTGCCACTCATTTAACCAAAGCTGTGCATGCATGGTTCTCAATTTTTTTAACTTTTATTGTGTTGCAAGGTAGGTAAATGGACTCAGGGTCTAATTCCCTGGAGAAGGCCTGGCCACTTCTCTCTATATACAGTCTTGCCAGAGCATCATCTGTAATTATTGTACAGGTTGAGCATCCCTTATTCGACATGGTTGGGACCAGAAATATTTTGGGTTTCAAGTTTTTTTGGATTTTGAAATATTTGTTATTCTGTAATACTTACCAGATCAGCATCCCCAATCTGAACATCCAAAATCCAACTGCTCCAATAAACGCTTCCTTTGAGCGTCATATTGGTGCTCAAAAAGTTTGAGATTTTGGAGCATTTCAGATTCCAGATTTTTTGATTAGGGATACTCAAACTGTAGTACATGGCACACCAGAAGGCACCACTACTATTCCAAGATTCAGGTTTCGATTCAGTTGAAAGCCCCTCTTTGGCTTAAGGCTTCGATAATCCATTTTCCGGAGGGAGTCCTGTACTGGGGAACAGGGCACTAAGCCAGATAATGATAAAGTGATGCCTTGATTCTTATTTTCCTATTGTTCCCTGTGTATAGCTTATCAAAAACCCTGTGGAGGGTAGAGGCAAGTGGCAGCCATGACTTAGATATACCTGGGACCCTTTACTTTCATAGAAAAAAAATACCTCTAATTCTAAAGTATATACAGCCAGGAAAGTGTATTATAAACAGAATATATCATTGACAATGAATGCTGAACGAGAATGATACATAGTTACATTACACATATTTATAAAAAATTTAAAGGTCAGAAAAGAATAAATATTAACATTTTTGAAATATTGATACATTACCTGGAAAAAATCTGGGTTGGGTATTCTTAAATTTTTTTCCAACTAATATCCTACTTTGTTCTCCCTAACAGAAAAGATTCTTCAAGGGAATACTAAGACAGGGGTTCTTTCAGAGTAAGTTGGTGATATCTTGACATTGCAGAGAATGGGTTCTGCCTCCTTTACCAAAAAAAAGCCTAAGAACTCAACAATGAGTGGTGTCAGCTAAAGATAACCAGTGTTTGGAAATTCTTCAGTGTTAGGCTATGTTCTGACATTTCTCATTAATATCTCACACCCCCATTAACTCGCCTAAGGTCTCAGCAGTACCAAAATCTATAGTACCATCCACTGGTAAGCAAGTGATCAGCCAGGGCAGGCTTGAGGATGAACCGGTTGGGACTGGCTGGGGACTCCAGATTTAAACTGCTTCAGCTCAAGATTACTTTAAGGTATAGCTAACATAAATATGAAAGAAAGCAAGAAAAAATATTAGTGGCTATTTTACTGTGGATAGTGGAATCACTACTTTTCTAGAGATTCTTTCACTTCAACTTTTTTTTTTTTGAGATGGAGTCTCACTCTGTCACTGAGACTAGTGTGCAGTGGCATGATCTCGGCTCACTGCAACCTCCACCTTCCAGGTTCAAGTGATTCTCCTGCCTCAGCCTCCTGAATAGCTGGGACTACAGGTGCCCACCACTGTGGCTGGCTAATTATTGTATTTTAGCAGAGACAGGGTTTCACCATCTTGGCCAGGCTGGTCTCGAACTCCTGACCTCAAGTGTTCTGCCTGCCTCGGCCTCCCAAAGTGCTGGGATTACAGGCATGAGCCACCGTGCCCGACCATCTTTCACTTCAACTTCTAAGATTTATGTCTCTTGGCTTCTGCAGTTTCTTAACTGGTGGAAACTGGAGGGAAAATATTAGTACTAAACATGAGACTAAAGTAGACAGTAGACAGACTTTTTATTATTAAGTTTCTACTGGACTTGGCAAAAACATTACAAACTTTTTGAGTTATAGCAAAATTGGTAATCCTTTGAAAATTGGAATGCATTTCAGAATAGAGTGCCCTTCAATGATAAGATGAGCAAGATAGGAAGGCAGTTAAAAGAAGTAATAGAAACATAAAATTGGGAAAAGTAGGTGGCATAATTTCATTTTCAAGTTCAATTACCTGCGTCAATATTTGGAAACAGGACTAGGGTCCGCTTGTTAAATGAGATAAGTGCATCCAATGTTAATTCAAACATTTTTATGGAATGCTTAATGTCAGTGGTCACAGGGTGCTGTAGTGCAACAATGTAATCTTTAGATTTTACATCATCACCTGTTTAAAGAAAATCAAACCACATTGCTTCATTAGTTAAGAATCTTAAAAGAGAAAGAAGCAAATTCTGAAAGCAAGACTCTAAGTCTGTGCTTTTAAAAATTCTACGATAGAAACAGTTTGTCAAATTGTGAACAGGGCATCCAAATTAGAGTCAAATGATAAGAATTTACAGCAACAAATCCAAGTATTCAGCAAACTTAACATTTTACAAAGACATGCTGCCACAAACATAACTTTAAATAGCAGGCACTAGAAATTCACTGTTTTAAAACCCAAACTATTCCAAAGCACTCAAAAAATGTGACTCTTCCCAATTTCTAACTAATGTTTTTAGTGAATATTCAGCAATATCAATGAATAATAATATGTTGCATATCAGGGCATTTTGAGGCTGAACAAGCATTAAACATATTTCCTAGAATGCACAGGAGCTTTCCTGTACTATCACCTACCAGATTCAACAAGTGGCAAGTGTTTCTAACTCTGTTAAAGGACTAGGAGAGTTTCGCTCATCCCTAGGCTGGGATCCCAAGGACGGTTCCTCAGCAAAAATTTAAAAGGTAAAAAGTTTAGATTGACAGTGCTATGTCAAACAACGCAAGGTATTTACCAATAGGGCCTATATTATCCCATAAAACTGAAAGTGAGCTCCACTTACTTTTTTTTTTAATTAAGTTTATTTATTTTTCCATAAGTTATTGGGGTATTAGGTGGTATTTGGTTACATGAGTTAGTTCTTTGGTGGTGATTTGTGAGATTTTGGTGCACCCATCACCTGAGCAGTATACTCTGTACCATATTTGTAGTCTTCTATCCCTCGCCCCCTCCTACTCTTCCCCCCAAGTCCCCAAAGTCCACTGTATCATTCTTAGGCCTTTGCATCCTCATAGCTTAGCTTCCACATATCAGTGAGAGCATACAATGTTTGGTTTTCCATTCCTGAGTTACTTCACTTAGAATAATAGTGTCCAGTCTCATCTAGGTCACTGCAAATGCTGTTAATTCATTCCTTTTTATGGCTGCATAGTATTCCATCATAGATACAGAT
Organism: Homo sapiens; assembly: GCF_000001405.40. Lineage (NCBI taxonomy): Eukaryota > Metazoa > Chordata > Mammalia > Primates > Hominidae > Homo > Homo sapiens. The sequence goes on from NC_000009.12 coordinate 36,238,036, forward strand.
ATAGATGTAGATATATAGATGTAGATATATATAGATACACACACACACATAGATATATAGATGTAGATATAAATAGATATATATAGATACACACACACACACACACACACATATATATACACACCACCGTTTCTTTATCCAATCATTGATTAATGGGCATTTGGTTGGTTCCATGACTTTGCAATTGTGAATTGTGCTGCTATAAACATGCGTGTGCAAGTATCTTTTTCAAATAATGACTTCTTTTCCTCTGGGTAGATACCCAGTAGTGGAATTGCTGGATCAAATGGTAGTTTTCCATAGCGGCTGTACTAGTTTACATTCACACCAGCAGTGTAGAAGTGTTCCTGATCACCACATCCACGCCAGCATCTACTGTTTTTTGATTTTTTGATTATGGCCATTCTTACAGGAGTAAGGCGGCATCGCATTATGGTTTTGATTTGCATTTCCCTGATCATTAGTGATGTTCAGCATTTTTTCATATGTTTGTTGGCCATTTGTATATTTTCTTTTGAGAATTGTCTATTCATGTCCTTAGCCCACTTTTTTATGGGACTTTTTCTTACTGATTTGTTTGAGTTCATTGTAGATTCTGGATATTAGTCTTTTGTCAGATGTATAGATTGTGAAGATTTTCTCCCACTCTGTGGTTGTCTGTTTACTCTGCTATTCCTTTTGCTGTGCAAAAGCTCTTTAGTTTAATTAGGTCCAGGCTATTTATCTTTGTTTTATCGTATTTGCTTTTGGGTTCTTGGTCATGAAATCCTTGCCTAAGCCAATGTCTAGAAGGGGTTTTCCCATGTAATCTTCTAGAATTTTTATAGTTTCAGATCTTAAAGTCCTTAATCCATCTTGAGTTGATTTTTGTATAAGGTGAGAGATGAGGATCCAGTTTCATTCTCCTACATGTGGCCAGCGAATTATCCCAGCACCATTTGTTGAAAAAGGTGTCCATTCCCCACTTTATATTTTTGTTTGATTTGTCGAAGATCAGTTGGCTGTAAGTATTTGGGTTTATTTCTGGGTTCTCTATTCTGTTCCATTGGTCTATATGCCTATTTTTGTACCAGTAACATGCTGTTTTGGTGACTATGGCCTTATAGTATAGTTTGAAATCAGGTAGTGTGATGCCTCCAGATTTGTTCTTTTTGCTTACTCTTGCTTTGGCTATATGGGCTCTTTTTTGGTTCCACATGAATTTTAGAATTATTTTTTTAATTCTGTGAAGAATAATGGTGGTATTTTGATGGGGATTGCATTGAATCTGTAGATTGCTTTTGGCAGTATGGTCATTCTCGCAATATCAACTCTACCCATCCATGAGTATGGGATGTGTTTCGCAGTATCAGCTCTACCCATCCATGAGCATGGGATGTGTTTCCATTTGTTCATGTTGTCTATGATTTCTTTCTTTCTATCTTTCTTTCTTTTTCTCTCTTTTTTTTTTCTTTTTGATGTAGTCTCACTCTTGTTGCTCAGGCTGCAGTGCAATGGTGCGATCTCGGCTCACTGCAACTTCCGCCTCCCAGGTTCAAGCGATTCTCCTGCCTCGGCCTCCCAAGTATCTGGGACTACAGGTGCACATCACCATGCCCAGCTAATTTTTGTATTTTTAGTAGAGTCAGGGTTTCACCATGTTGGCCAGGCTAGTCTCAAACTCCTGAACTCAAATGATCTGCCCGCCTTGGCCTCCCAAATTGCTGGGATTACAGGTGTGAGCCACTGCACCCAGCCTATGATTTCTTTCAGCAGTGTTTTGTAATATCCCTTGTAGAGGTCTTTTGACTCCTTGGTTAGGTATATTCCTAAGTATTTTATTTTATTTTATATTTCATTTTATTATTTTATTTTACTTATTTTATTTTATTTTAATTTAATTTTGCAGCTGTTGTAATAGGGGTTGAGTTCTTGGTTTGATTCTCCGCTTGGTCGCTGTTGGTGTATAGAAGAGCTACTGATTTGTGTACATTAATCTTGTATCCAGAAACTTTGCTGAATTCTTTTATAAGTTCTAGGAGCTTTCTGGAGGTGTCCTTAGGATTTTCAAGGTAAATAATCATATTGTCAGCAAAGAGTGACGGTTTGACTTCCTCTTTACTGATTTGGATGCCCTTTTCTTCTCTTGTCTGATTGCTCTGGCTAAGACTTCCAGTACCATGTTGAAGAGGAGTGGTGAGAGTGGGCATCCTTGTCTTGTTCCAATTCTCAGAGGGAATGCTTTCAACTTTTCCCCATTCAGTATTACATTAGCTGTGGGTTTGTCATAGATGGCTTTTATTACATTAAGGTATGTCCCTTGTATGCTGATTTTGCTGAGAGTTTTAATCATAAAGGGATGCTGGATTTTGTTTAATGCTTTTTCTGCATCTACTGAAATGATCATGTGATTTTTAATTCTGTTTATGTGGTCCATCACATTTACTGACTTGTATACATTAAACCATCCCTGCATCCCTGGTATGAAACCCACTTGATCATGGAGGATTATCTTTTTGATATGTTGTTGGATTTGATTAGCTAGTATTTTGTTAAGGATTTTAGCATCTATGTTCATCAAGGATATTGGCCTGTTGTTTTTTTTGTTATGTCCTTTCCTGGTTTTGGTATTAGGGTCATGGGGGCTTCACAGAATAAATTAGGGAGGGTTCCTTCTTCCTCTATCTTGTAGAATAGTGTCAAAAGGATTGGTACCAATTCTTCTTTGAATGTCTGGTAGAATTCTGCTGTGAATCCATCTGGTCATGGAATTTTTTTTGTTGGTAATTTTTAAATTACCATTTCCATCTTGCTGCTTGTTATTGACCTGTTCAGGGTATGTAATTCTTCCTGATTTAAGCTAGTAGGGTTGTATTTTTCCAGGAATTTGTCCATCTCTTCTAGGTTTTCTAGTTTATGTGTGTCAAGGTGTTCATAGTAGCCTTGAATGATCTTTTGTATTTCAGTAGTGTCAGTTGTAATATCTCCTGTTTCATTTCTTAGTGAGGTTATTTGGATTTTCTCCCTTCTTTTCTTGGTTAATCTTGCCAATGGTCTAACAGTTTTATTTATCTTTTCAAAGAACCAGCTTTTTGTTTCATTTACTTTTTTTTTTTTTTAAGACAGAGTCTCACTCTGTCGCCCAGGTTGGAGTGCAGTGGCACGATCTTGGCTCACTACAACCTCCACCTTGTGGGTTCAAGCAATTCTCCTGCCTCAGCCTCCTGAGTAGCTGGGACTACAGGCCTATGCCACTACGCCTAGCTAATCTTTGTATTTTTTAGTAGAGATGGGGTTTCACCATGTTGGCCAGGATGGTCTCTATCTCCTGACCTTGTGATCTGCCCGCCTCGGCCTCCCAAAGTGCTGGGATTACAGGCGCGAGCCACTGTGCCCAGCAACAGTTTCTTTATGAAAGAAGGATGGCAAAGTAGCAAAAACTAGAAGTCTTTTTAGACCAGGGAAAAGTAAAACGCAAGACAATGAGCCAGAGCAACTCATCCCTGGCAAGAATACATTTCATACAAAGTTTGCACCTGCTTCTCCACCTGGCACTTCTGATATTATTACCAGTCTTTGTATCTATCCATAATTCAGCAGCCTCAGCCCTTTCATAAATCCTTTCCATAAAGGCATTTTGTTTTCTGTTGTAAAGTCCTATATTTACTGTGATATGCCTTTCATTATTAGGAATTTAACATGCCTTTTTAACATTGCTAATTTTAAAATTAAGATTGTTATATATTAACACTCTGGTTACAAAGCTGCAATGTTATATATGGCCTACCCAACCCTATCTTCCTGTAAGCAGAGTGATAGCATGAGAAGTTCCATATTAAGGCCAGGTGCGGTAGCTCATGCCTATAATCCCAGCAGTTTGGAGGGCTGAGGAGGGCGGATCACCTGAGGTCAGGAGTTCGAGACGAACTTGGCGAACATGATGAAGCCCCATCTCTACTAAAAATACAAAAATTAGCCAGGTGTGGTGGTGTGCGCCTGTAGTCCCAGCTACTCAGGAGGCTGAGGCAGGAGTATTGCTTAAACCTGGGAGGCAGAGGTTGCAGTGAGTCGAGACTGCGCTAATGCACTCCAGCCTAGGTGACAGAACTCCAGCCTTGGCAACAGAGCAAGACTCTGTCTCAAAAAAAAGAAAAAAAAAAAGAAGTTGCATATCAAGAAGCAGGAACAGGTTTTATATAAAATGTATTACTGCCCAGTGGTGGATGGCTCTGCCTCATTGTCTTGAGTTTTCTTTTTCACTGGTTTAAAGACCAAAAAAAAAAAAAGCAATTTTAGCTGTTCTGTTGTCCTTCTTTCCATAAAGAACTGCTTAAATTGTCCCAAATAGGACTTTAAGCCCTACAAGTACAATTCAATTTTGCTACATTCTGCTTTCTAATGGTTATTTGCTGTTTTTTGTTTTGAGACGGAGTCTCGCTCTGTTGCCAGATTGGAGTGCAGTGGCGCGATCTCGGCTCACTGCAGCCTCCGCCTCCTGGGTTTCATGCAATTCTTCTGCCTCAGCCTCCCAAGTACCTGGGACTACAGGTGTGCGCCACCATGCTCAGCTAATTTTTGTATTTTTAGTAGAGATGGGGTTTCACCATGTTGGCCAGGATGGTCTCAATCTCTTGACCTCATGATCTGCCCGCCGTGGCCTCCCAAAGTGCTGGGATTACAGGTGTGAGCCACCGCATCTGGCCTGGGTTTTATGCTTGTTTTTTTTTTTTTTTTTTTTTTTGAGATGGAGTCTCGCTTCTTCACCCAGGCTGGAGTGTGGAGTGCAGTGGTGCAATCTCGGCTCACAGCAACCTCCCTGGGTTCAAGCAATTCTCCTGCCTCAGCCTCCTGAGTAGCTGGGAGTACAGGCATGTGCCAGCACACCTGGCTAATTTTTGTATTTTTACTAGAAATGGGGTTTCACCATGTTGGCCAGGCTGGTCTCCAACTCCTGACCTCAAGTGATCCACCTGCCTGGGCCTCCCAAAGTGCTAGGGTCACAGGCATGAGCCACTGGCACCTGGCCAAAACTAGTGTTTTGTTTTTTTGAGACAGGGTCTTATTCTGTCACCGAGGCTGGAGTGCAGTGGCACAATCATGGCTCACTTCAGTCTTGAACTCCCAGACTCAAGCAATCCTCCCACTTCAGCCTCCGGAGTAGCTGGGACTACAGGCACACACCATCACACCCGGCTGATTTTTGTATTTTTTGTAAAGACAGAGTTTCACCACGTTGCCCAGGCTGTTCTCAAACCCCTAGGCTCAAGTGATCTGCCCACTTTGGCCTCTCAAAGTACAGAGATTACAGGCATGTGCCACCACATCTGGCACATTATTATTTTCTATTCATTACAAGTTTTTCAGTGATACAAGTTTTCCAGAATACCTAGAGAGCTAATGGTATAATTAGAACAGAATCCAAGAGTGTTTCATCGGAAGCATACTAAAAGGAGAGACTGAAGAGACAGAAGGTTGTTCCACCAGCATTATCTAGACGATCCCTTGATAATTACAAATCTGTCCAAGCATAAGAAATATTTAGAATGGGCCAGGTGCGGTGGCTCATGCCTATAAACCCAGCAGTTTGGGAGGCCGAGGCAGGAGGATTGCTTGAGCCTAGGAATTCATGACTAGCCTGGGCAAAATAGTGAGACCCCATCTCTACAAAAAAATTTTAAAAATTAGCTGGGCATGGTGGTACATGCCTGTAGTCCCAGCTACTCAGGAGGCTGAGGTGGTAGGATCACTTGAGCCCAGGAGGACAAGACTGCACCACTGCACTCCAGACTGAACAACAGAAATATGTAGAATGGAGTACGTTATATAGCAGGAAAGCCCAATTCCTTTCCTGATGTAATGTAATCTAGATTAAAAATATACAAAATCTCTTTGCTTATTCAATTTTCTTTTTCTTTCTGTGTTTTTTTTTTGTTATTGTTTTTTGTTTTTTTTTGTTTTGTTTTGTTTGAGACAGGGTCTTACTCTGTCACCCAGGCTAGAGTGCAGCAGTGTAATCACAGATCACTGTAGCCTCAACTACTCAGGCTCAAGTGACCCTCCCATCCCAGCCTCCCAGGTAACTAGGACTACATGCACACAGCACCACGCCCAGCTAATTTTCTTATTTTTTGTAGAGACAGCGTCTTGCTATGTTGCCCAGGCTGGCCTTGTAACTCCTAGGCTCAAGCAATACTCCCACTTCAGCCTCCCAAAGTGCTGGGATTACAGGGTGAGCCACCATACCTGACCCAACCAAATCAATTTTCTGTTCATTAATTTTATAATTCAATAGATCTGCCTCTTAGAAATGAAAGGTCCTAAATAGATTATTAGTCCTAATTTGTCCCCTAGGTAGTACTCTTACTATAAATTAACCAACTGACATTCTGTTTGTAAACTTGGATTTTTTTACCTCTGATTAGCAAAAGATAATTTCTAGGAAGCTAGAGCACTGAACAATAAAAATTTTGGAACATAGGGCTTATTTACAAAGATATACTCTAAGGCTACAACTATGACTTTTGCTTTTTAATAATCATCATAATCCCTTATATTAATAAGTACTTATGGCTTACTGCTTCCAACATTCATAATCTGAGTATTCCAACAATTCTATAAGAAAAGCATTAAAAATAAAAATGAGCCAGGCGCGGTGGCTCATGCCTGTAATCTCAGCACTTTGGGAGGCCGAGGTGGGCGGATTATGAGGTCAGGAGTTTGAGACCAGCCTGACCAACATAGTGAAACCCCGTCTCTACTAAAAATACAAAAAAAAATTAGCCAGGTGTGGTGGTGTGCGCCTGTAACCCCAGCTACTCAGGAGGCTGAGGCAGGAGAATCGCTTGAACCCGGGAAGTGGAGGTTGCAGTGAGCCGAGACTGAGCCACTGCACTACAGGCTAGGCAACAGAGTAAGACTCCATCTCAAAAAAAAAAAAAAAATGACCATTTTGCCAATGTAGTAAAAAATTTCAGAAAATCAGGCCAGGCACGGTGGCTCACGCTTGTAATCCCAGCACTTTGGGAGGCTGAGGTGGGCGGATCACCTGAGGTCAGGAGTTCGAGACCAGCCTGGCCAACATGGAAAAACCCTGTCTTTACTAAAAATATGAAATTAGCCAGGCATAGTAATCCCAGCCACTCGGGAGGTTGAGGCAGGAGAATCGCTTGAACCTGGGAGGTGGAGGTTGCAGTGAGCCGAGATTGTGCCACTGCACTCCAACCTGGATGACAGAGCAAGACTCTGTCTCAAAAAACAAAAAAAAAATTCAGAAAATCAAACATAAAAACACCCATAATCCCACACCAGAAATAAATATAATAAATGACTTGGTGTACATACTTCCTAACCATTCCATTATTACAGTTTTTAGTAAAATGGCAGATTACAGCTGGGTGCAGTGGCTCACACCTGTAATCCCAGCACTTTGGGAGCCCAAGGTGGGCGGATCACTTGAGGTCAGGAGTTCGAGACCAGCCTGGCCAACGTGGTGAAATTAAAAATAGAAAAATTAGCCGGTCATGGTGGTCCACGCTTGCAATCCCACATACTTGGGAGGCTGAGGCAGGAGCATCACTTGAACCTGGGAGGCAGAGGATGCAGTGAGCCAAGATCACACCACTGCACTCCAGCCTAGGCAACAGAGCAAGACTCCATCTCAAAAAATAAAATAAATAAAATAAAATGAAATGGCATATTACACTTATAATTTTATAGCTCCCCCTTTTGACATATTAGGATCGTTCTTATAACTAATATATTTAATGGATTAAAAGCATTCCATTCTATAAATATAGCAGAGATTTTTAAAACTCAATCCACTAAGCCTATTTTACAGAAAAGGTAAACCTCAGAGAGGTAAAGTCATACCACAGGGCAAGGTCTATGAACTAAAACCTTGGCCTTCTCATTGCTAACAGAGTATTCTATCCATAATAGTTTCCAAAAGGATTGAAATAGACGGAACATTTTCTGACAAAAACAGCCATTAGACTGACTAAAGTCTGAGATACGTACCTAGCCACATGCGAATGATGCTCATGTAGTCTTTGTTCTTGGCTGAGAGAAGTTTGTCATAGGAAGGGCAGCCTGCCAAAAGGATGCGATCATGGTCCTCACACATGGATATCAGGTGCTGCTCTGCACTGCGGGTGCAGCACACATGATAATGAGCCAGTTTTGTTATGGCATGTCTGATAGAGTCATCAATGGTCCCACTGACTTCCCCACCTTCAATGTGAAGGATTCGGATGTTCATCAAGGCAGCAGATGTGGCCAGAGCCAGGGCATCAAACCTGTCTCCATGAACAATCATGATATCAGGCTTCAGGCGATTAAGGACATCTGGCAGCTTCACTAGGGCCAGGCCTACTGACTCCACCATGGCTGCCTCATCTTCTCCCCTCACAATTGTGTGTAGCCTGGTGTTAATGTCAAAGTCATCTTGTTCAATCATTCGATATGTATTTCTAAAGCCGGGGAGAAATAAAGATATAAGAACATGTTCTTAAACACAGAGCCGTAACATGCAAGAAAAGCAATCTAACACCAACTCTGAAGTGAGAAACATTAAAATAAATAAATTGAAGTATAACTTACAAACATAAAAAGCATAGACCATAAGTGTAAACAGCCTGATTAAGATTCTTTTTTTTTTTTTTTTTTTTTTTTTTGAGATGAAGTCTTGCTCTGTTGCCCAGGCTGGAGTGCAGTAGCGCGATCTAGGCTCACTGCAACTTCTGCCTCCCGGGTTCAAGCGATTCTCCTGCCTCAGCCTCCTGCGTAGCTGGGATTACAGGCATGTACCACCACACCCAGCTAATTTTTCTATTTTTAGTACAGATGGGGTTTTGCCATGTTGGCCAGGCTGGTCTTGAACTCCTGACCTCAGGTGATCCACCCACCTTGACCTACCAAAGTGCTGGGATTACACGCGTGAGCGACTGCACCCGGCCAGAGAATTTTTTTATTAGGAAGAAAGAGACTAAACTTTTAACAGTGGTCAGCACTTTTTATATACACTTAGGGGAAAATGTTTTTTACCCTTTTTTTTATTTTTTTGAGACAGAGTCTCGCTCTGTCGCCCAGGCTGGGGTGCAGTGGTGCGATCTTGACTCACTGCAACCTCCACCTCCCAGGTTCAAGCGATTCTCCTGCCTCAGCCTCCCGAGTAGCTGGGACTACAGGCGTGTGCCATCACGCCCAGCTAATTTTTGTATTTTTAGTAGAGACAGGGTTTCACCATGTTGGCCAGGATGGTCTCAATCTCTTGACCTCGTGATCCGCCCGCCTCGTCCTCCCAAAGTGCTGGGATTACAGGTGTGAGCCACCGTGCCTGGCCAAACCTTTTTTCTTTAAGAAAACATTTCATGGTGAAAAGTCTCTCACTTTTGTCTCCCAGTCATCCAATTCTTCTCCCAAGAAGCAACCAATTTCTTGTGTTAGAATGTACCTTAAACATGCATTTTCATTAAGTACTAGTCAAATTTCCTATTTAACGGTCTCATCAGATAAACACTATTCTTCCACCCTTGGTAACTGTGGTAGGCAGATAAAAAACCTACTACCATTTCCCTGAGAGCCTCTCTTCCACTAGTCTTCCTGTCAAAGCTTTCTCAGAGCAGTAAAAGAACCCACTCAAACTTTCATCTCAGGCTCTAGCTAAAATTTCTGTTCTACTGAGAGGATGCTCCTAAATAGCCAGAATTCATTTTATATTAAAAAAAAATCTGGACGGACGCAGTGGCTCACACCTGTAATCCCAGCACTTTGGGAGGCGGAGGCAGGTGGATCACCTGAGGTTGGGAGTTTGAGACCAGCCTGACCAACATGGAGAAACCCCGTCTCTACTAAAAATACAAAATTAGCCGGGCATGGTGGCGCATGCCTGTAATCCCAGCTACTCGGAAGGCTAAGGCAGGAGAATCACTTGAACCCGGGAGGTGGAAGTTGCAGTGAGCCGAGATCACGCCACTGCACTCCAGCCTGGGCAACAAGAGCAAAACTCCGTCTCAAAAAAAAAAAAAAAAAAAAAAATCTGTGGATCCCTGAGCTATCCATTAAGTTTCTTCTCTACTCTTTAAGTATTTCCTAGTAGCGAATTCCCACCTTGTTTTTAAAGAATAGTCTGAAAAGGACAATTTTATTTTAACGCAAGGTTCTTTCAGATACAGTATTGTATTTGTGATCCTCTTTGGAGACTGCATTAATATATTCATGCCACAAGGGTGCACTAAATGACTTTTTATTACATACATCAAGATGTATGTAATACGCCTTGTTCTCTCAGATTATTCAACCTTTGCTTTTTTTTTTTTTGAGACGGAGTCTCACTCTTGTTGCCCAGGCTGGAGTGCAGTGGTGTGATCTCAGCTCATTGCAACCTCCGCCTCCCGGGTTCAAGTGATTCTCCTGCCTCAGCCTCCCGAGTAGCTAGGACTACGGGCATGCGCCACCACAACTGGCTAATTTTTTTTTTTTTTGTATTTTTCGTAGAGATAGGGTTTCACCATGTTGGCCAGGCTGGTCTCAAATTCCTGACCTCAGGTGATCCACCCACCTCAGCCCCCCAGAGTGCTGGGATTATAGGCATGTGCCACCGTGCCCGGCCCAACTTTCACTTTTTAAATGTAGCCTGTGATTAATAACAAACCTAATGTCAGCAAAATAAATGTCAATGGTGACAGTAATGTAACTCTCTACTTTACCTTGCAGATTAGATTTTTAAAATCTTGTTCCATATCTACTACTTTATATGCTGTTGGCCTATAAACCAGTTTTAAAGATTGCCATTACAGCTCACAAAACAGTTTACATGGAATCACATTATTATACTCATACAATATGTATTTATAAGTGGCATTTGTTTGAATGTAACAACTAATAACAAACAGTAATATTATTTATAGCTACCATTTATCAATCATCTACTAAGCGGCATCATTGTGATGGATGCTCTATATCATGATCTCCATTCCTCACAATAATTTACAATATAAGTTTTCACTACATTATATAATGAGGAAACTGAGGCTCAGAGATGCTAAGTGACTACTCTAAGGCCACATAAAAACTAAGCAGCAGAACAGGAATTTGAAGCTGGGCCCATATGGCTACAAAACCCAAGCTCCTTCTAGCACACTGTTGCAATGAAGAATAAGAAAATGCTTTCATCTTACCCATAGTCATCTATCAGGTGAGAGCCAAGTACCACAACATCAAGTTCAAAGAACTCAGGTTCGGTTTTAATGCCAAACATGATCGGGGCAAGTTTAGAATAATCTGCACGGTTACAAGTAGCAACACAAACCCGCAGCTTTCGGTTATTTCCATTCTTCTCCATGATTTGCTTGTTTCGTTTTGAGAGGTTCTTAAAATAGAGTTCCTGAAATTGCCAAAATAAAAACTTTATAATCAGAATAACTCCTAGATATAACTAAACTTTAAACTTCTCTAAATCAGAAATAGAAATTTTCAGTTTCAAGTCCTTAACCACTATTTAGTACAGTGATTCTTAATCTTTTTTTGCACCTCCACTTATGTGTGACTCTCCCATTGGTATATCCAGAGTTAAGAAACTCCAAGGCTGGGAGTGGTGGCTTACGCCTGTAATCCCAGCACTTTGGGAGGCCGAGGTGGGCAGATCACGAGGTCAGGAGATCAAGACCATCCTGGCTAACGTGGTGAAACCCCGTCTCTACTAAAAAATACAAAAAAAAAAATTAGCTGGGCGTGGTGGCGGGTACCTGTAGTCCCAGCTACTCGGGAGGTTGAGGCAGAAGAATGGCGTGAACCCAGGAGGCGGAGCTTGCAGTGAGCTGAGATCGCACCACCACACTCCAGCCTGGGTGACAGAGCGAGACTCCATCTCAAAAAAAAAAAAAGAAGAAGAAACTCCAGCAAACTAACTGTAACACCACCCCATCCTCTCACACTCAAGAAAACACACTGGAATGCCATTAAGAAGGAGTGATATAAATCAGCTCTTGTTTAAAAGGTGAGGAAATATCAGCTCTTTATTATTAAAAATTACTTGCCATAACTCACAGATGAGCCCAACATAGTAGGTTGTTGCAAAATCAGTTGTTGAGAACCACTGATCTAGTTCAACTCCATCACTTTATAGAAAGGGAAACACAGGTCTTGAGAGGGAAAATTACTGCCCCAACATTCCAGATCATGTCTCATAAGGAACACAGGCTATTCACTCTCACACTATACACTTCCTAAATACAAGGTATTGTGATTAATGCTGGGCAGGAGAAAGATGAGTAAGATAAAAACCTGACCTTCAAGCCCTCATTAGTACCTACACACCAGTGCCAACAAAACTGACAACTCCAAATGCCTATCAGATATCTCCTGCTGTATGTCCTATAAACACCTTAAAGTCAGTGTCCCAAACTGAACTCATTTTCTTTTCGGAAGCTGTTCCTCCTCAATTGTTCTCTGAGTTATGCAATTTCATTCATCCAAATGCCTTCAAATCCTTGTCTTTTCTGTTCTTCACCCCATATCTCCAAAATGCTGTCAATTCCACCCCCTAAATATCTTTCAAATCTATCTCCTCCTCTTCATCCATACAAGGACTTCCCCTAGTCCAGTCCCTCATTTTAGGTCTGGACGATCTTAACAGCTGTCAAGTGGTTTGCCTGTCTCCTATAAACTTTCTTACTTATTTATTTAGAGACAAAGTCTCACTCTGTCGCCCAGGTTGGAGTGCAGTGGCACGAGCTTGGCTCACTACTACCTCCGCCTCCCAGATTCAAGCAATTCTCCTGCCTCAGCCTCCCGAGTAGCTGGGATTATAGGTGCCCACCACCATGCCCAGCTAATTTTTGTATTTTTAGTAGAGATGGGGTTTTGCCATGTTGGCCAGGCTGGTCTTGAACTCCTGGCCTCAAGTGATCCACCCACCTCGGCCTCCCAAAGTGCTGGGATTACAGGCAAGAGCCATTGCGCCCGGCCTCCTACAAACTTTCAAAGTGATCTTCCTTTCCACCATCTCTTCCCTGCCTAAAATTACCCTTCTCTGTGCCAAAGTGCCAGCCATACCAAACTGCCTCCAGTTCAACTAGTGAATCTCCGTATATCTATACCTTTATAGATGCCACCTACTTTTTCCTAAAACTTCCTTTCCTCCTTGCTGGTCTTCTACTCATCCTTCAAAACTCCATCTAAGTGTCATCCTTTCTGGAAAGGCTTCACACAAACCTCAGGTCCTCCTCCCCCACGTTTCTCAGTTGCTGCCTCGCTCTGAGCGTTATGGCCCTCCCATTCACAGATATACTGTTGCTCAGCTCCACTGCTCGCTCATCCCTCCCTGCCATGCTATACCCTCCATTCAAAAAGTAAAATCAGGGGCAAGGAATAAGAGATTTGTTTTATGGAATTTTTTAAAAAGTTTTTACATTTTTGGAGATGGGATCTTGCTATGTTGCCCAAGCTAGAGTGCAGTAGCTATTCACAAGCACGATCATAGCTCATTGCAGCCTGGAACTCCTGGGCTCAAGCAACCCCCCCACCTCAGCCTCCTAAGTAGCTGGAACTACAGGCATACACCACTGAGCCAGACTTGGAACATGTTAAACTTCTCTAAATCAACATAAAATTTCACCTCATGGACTCTGATCTCAATGTTCATGTTTCAGTAAGTGTATCAATATTTAGAACTTGTAATCAGGAATCCAGAGACACTTCAGTAAGGATTCCAATTCTAGGGGTGCCATCCTTTAGATGAGGGTAAACTCTGAAATTCACTGGAAATTCCATCAGTAGCCCTCTGCTGTTGGTACCTCAACACTCTCTTAGGCTAAAATTCTGTGACCATGCAAACGGTCCCATCATTAGGTCCACTCTGAATTTATAATCCCCAGTAAAAGCTAATTTCACCCAATGGCAAACACTTACAATATAACGAAACGGGCATTCCACCAAGAGAGTTATATTCAGAAGACCCAAGCACTATCTGATCTTTTTTTTTTTTTTTTTGAGACAGAGTCTTGCTCTGCCACCCAGGCTGGAGTGCAGTGGTGCAATCTCGGCTCACTGCGACCTCCGCCTCCTGGGTTCAAGCAATTCTCCTGCCTCAGCCTCCCGAGTAGCTGGGATTACATGCATGTGCCACCATGCTGGGCTAATTTTTTCTATTTTTAGTAGACATGGGGTTTCACCATGCTAGCCAGACTGGTCTCGAACTCCTGACCTCATGATCCACCCGCCTCGGCCTCCCAAAGTGCTGGGATTACAGGCATGAGCCACCGCACGTGGCCGCACTATCTAATCTTTAAAGAGACAAAAATATTCTTCCAAAAATGGTTGTCGTAAGTGTTCTTGTATATAATCCTTCTTCCAGTGATCAAATTTGAGCTGAAAAAATTGTTGGTAATATTTAATTTGCTGAGGCAAAACAAATCATTCATGGTTTGTCAATTTGTATTTATTTTACAAAGAACAGTAAATGTTCCATCTGGCAGTACTAAAATGCTTATTTACCAGGTTACTCAAAGGTTATTCTACCTAAACTGAGAGCAAGCTGGCCATATAAATAAATGGTGAAAAATACAACAATGTTACCTAGAAACCTAAAAAACCTTAAAAAGTCAAAGCTTTTTCAAGGAAAGAAGTTAAATCTTAAAAATAAAATTAAGGTAAAATGCCTTTTTAAGGGGAGGTTTTAAAAAATAATTTTAATTAACTAAATTTTTGATCAGGTAGTATATTCACATGGTTTAAAATTGAAAAGTCACAAGAGGTTAAGTAGCAATAAGTCTTTTCATCTGTGTTCCCCAGCTAGCTAGTTCTTTTCCCTGGAAGCAGTTACTGGTTTCCTATCTGTCCTTCCATGGATAAACTATGATAATATAAATAAATATATGGCTCACGCCTGTAATCCCAACACTTTGGGAGGCCGAGCTGGGTGGATCACGAGAGGTCAGGAATTCAAGAACAGCCTGGCCAACATGGTGAAACCCCATCTCTACTAAACATACAAAAAAAATTAGCCAGGTGTTGTGGCACACACCTATAGTCCCAGCTACTTGGGAGGCTGAGGCAGGAGAATCACTTGAACACATGAGGCGGAGCTTGCGGTGAGCCAAGATGGTGCCACTGCACTCCAACCTGGGCAACAGAATAAGTCTCTATCTAAATATATATATATATGATGTGTATATATATGATGTATGTATGTGTATACATACACACATACACAACGTATATTACAAAATTGGTAACATATTCTATAAACTGTTGGGGCAAAGCTTACTTTTTTTTTTTTTTAAAATACAGTCTCCCTCTGTTGCCCAGGCTAGAGTGCAGTGACATGACCTTGGCTCACTGCAACTTCCACCTCCCCAGTTCAAGAGATTCTTGTGCCTCAGCCTCCTGAGTAGCTGGGATTACAGGTGCCCGCCACCACACCCACCAAATTTTTTTGTATTTTTAGCAGAGACGGGGTTTCACCATGTTGTCCAGGCCAGTCTCAAACTCCTGACCTCACATGATCCACCCACCTCGGCCTCCCAACGTGCTAGGATTACAGGCATGAGCCACCGCGCCCAGCCACAAATCTTACTTTTTAAAATGCTTTTAATTATGACTCAAATGGTAGAATGAGAACATTTAAAGATATTGGAAATATCAAATCTAAAAGTGCAAAATTTTGGAAATTGCTGGCCATCAGCTTTTCAAATATACAAAGAGTTATAAGAGCCCTAAAATTTAGCAAAAACATTCAACTTTGGCTGGGCACAGTGGCTCATGCCTGTAATCCCAGCACTTTGGGAGGCTGAGGTGGGCGGATCACCTGAGGTCACGAGTTGGAGACCAGCCTGGCCAACATGGTGAAACCCCATCTCTACTAAAAATACAAAACTTAGCAGGGTGTGGTGGCGTGCACCTGCAATCCCAGCACTGAGGAGGCTGTGGCAGGAGAGTTGCTTGAACCTGGGAGGCGGAGGTTGCAGTGAGCCGAGATTACACCATTGCATTCCAGCCTGGGAGACTGATCGAGACTCCATTTCAAAAAAAGAAAAAGAAAAATTAGCCAGGCATGGTAGCGCGTGCCTGTAATCCCAGCTGCTTGGGAGGCTGAGGCACAAGAATCGCTTGAACCCAGGAGGCAGAGGTTGCAGTGAGCTGAGATCGCACCACTGCACTCCAGCCTGGGCAAAAGAGTGAGACTTTGTCTCAAAATAAATAAATAAATAAATAAATAAAAACAAGAAATCTGGCTGGACATGGTGGCTCATGCCTGTAATCCCAGCACTTTGGGAGGCTGAGGCAAGAAGGACTCCTTGAAGTCAGGAGTTCAAGACCAGCCTGGGCAACATAGCAAGACTCCTGTCTCTACAAACAAATTTTTTTTAATTAGCTGAGTGTGGTTGTGCACACCTGCGGTCCTAGCTATTTGGGAGGCTGAGGCAGGAAGATCACTTTAGCCCAGGAGTTTGAGGCTGTAGTGAGTTATGATCATGCCACCGCACTCCAGCCTGAAAGACTGAGCAAGACCCTATCTTTAAAAAAATTAAAATTTAAATCCAGCCTGGGGCAAGTAAATTTCCTTTTGTAAGGAGGCAATCACTTTTCATCAGTACTTACAATGGACAGTCTTGAGTTGAGAGAATGCAAAAAGCTGCTTTCAAGAATTGAGTTTCGGCCGGGCGCAGTGGCTCACGCCTGTAATCCCAGCACTTTGGGAGGACGAGGCGGGCGGATCACCTGAGGCCAGGAGTTCAAGACCTGCCTGGCTAACATGGCAAAACCCCATCTCTACTAAAAATACAAAAATTAGCCAGGCATGGTGGCAGGCGCCTGTAATCCCAGCTACTGGGGAGGCTGAGGCAGGAGAATCACTTGAACCCGGGAGGCGGAGGTTGCAGTGAGCCGAGATCCTGCCACTGCACTCCAGCCTGGGCAACAAGAGTGAGATTCCATCTCAAAAAAAAATAATTGGGTTTCTCAGATTGCCAGTGAGTTCAAGATGAAGGCAAGCTTGTCTATAAACCTGGCCTTAGGTAACATTGTTCTATTTTTCAGTTTACTCATATGGCCAGCTTGCTCTCAGTTTAGGTAGAATAACCTTTGAGTAACTGGTAAGTACGAGGCATTTTAGTACTGCCAGATGGAACATTTACTGTTCTTTGTAAAATAAATATAAATTGACAAACCATGAATGATTTGTTTTGCCTCACAGTATTTTTCTTTTTTCTTGAGACGGAGTGTCACTCTGTTGCCCAGGCTGGAGTGCAGTGGTGCGACCTCAGCTCACTGTAACCTCCACCTCCCGGGTTCAATCAATTCTCCTGCCTCAGCCTCCCAAGTAGCTGGGATTACAGGCGCACGCCACCATGCCTGGCTAATTTTTGTATTTTTTTAGTTGAGACGCGGTTTCAACTAAACCAGGCTGTTCTCGAACTCTTGACCTCAAGTCATCTGCCTTGGCCTTGCCTCACAAAAATTAAAAATGTAAATTAAAAGCCACAAGAGGCTAAATAGCAAAAAGTCTTCTCATATGTGTTCCCCAGCTATATAATTCTTTTCCCTGAAAGAAACTATAGTACGAATTGGAAAAGGACCACTGCACTCCAGCCTGGGTGACAGAGTGAGACCCTATCTTTAAAAAATTAAAATTTAAATAAAAAAATAAAAACAAGCAATCTTTTAAATGAACATTATGAAGTAGGTGCATTGTCCAGCACAGAGCTCAGAAAGTCAGAAGGTGGGACTGAATACTTGCATCCATTTCACTCTTCAATTCTATAATTGTACCTGAGCCACCAAAAGAAAGACAGAAAAACAAATAATAGGTGACAGATGGATGGATGATAGATGTTAGACAGATAGATGATAGTTTTCGGACAAGTTTGCCTTCATCTTGAACTCACTGGCAATCGCTGAAAAACCCAATTCTTGTTTGTTTTTGTTTTTGAGACAGGGTCTCACTCTGTTGCCCAGGCTGGAGTGCAGTGACATGATCTCAGCTCACTGCAACCTCCACCTCCCAGGTTGAAGCGATTCTCCTGCCTCAGCCTCCCAAGTAGCTGGGATTACAGGCATGTGACACCATGCCCAGCTAATTTTTTTGTATTTTTAGTAGAGGTGGGGTTTCACCATGTTGGCCAGGCTGGTCTCGATCTCCTGACCTCAGGTGATCCGCCGCCTGGCCTCCCAAAGTGCTTGGATTACAGGCATGAGCCACCATACCCAGCCAGAGAAACCCAATTCTTTTTTTTTTTTTTTTTTTTTTTTTTTGAGACAGACAGCCTGTCGCCCAGGCTGGAGTGCAGTGGTGCAATCTCGGCTCACTGCAACCTCCGCTTCCTGGGTTCAAGCGATACTCCTATCTCAGCCTCCTGAGTAGCTGGGATCACAGGCGCCTGCCACCACATCGAGCTAATTTTTGTATTTTTAGTAGAGATGAGGTTTCATCATGTTGGCCAGGCTGGTCTTGAACTCCTGACCTCAGGTGATCCGCCTGCATTGGCCTCCCAAAGTGCTGGGATTACAAGCGTGAGCCACCACGCCCGGCAGAAACCCAAATTCTTAAAGACTACTTTCTGCATTCTCTCAACTCAAGACCGTCCATTATAAATGCTGACAAAAGGTGATTAACCCTTTCCAGAAAAATAATGCCCCACTCAACCGTGGAAAGAGTTCTTTGTGAAGAGAATATTTTTAAGGCTATCAAATAAAAATAATGAACACTTGGGTCAAGCAGTCAC
This sequence comes from Homo sapiens, assembly GCF_000001405.40. Lineage (NCBI taxonomy): Eukaryota > Metazoa > Chordata > Mammalia > Primates > Hominidae > Homo > Homo sapiens. The sequence goes on from NC_000009.12 coordinate 36,256,737, forward strand.
TGAACAGAGGAAACAACAGTAAACATTTGCTGAGCGCTTCTGAAGTGCCAAACATTGTGCTAATAGGTTTCTTCACATGTATTAACTCATTTCATCCTCACAGCCCTCGTATTAGCCGCGTTTTACAGACAGGAAGCACAGAGAAAATAATTTACTTGCCCCAAATCACTGTTTAATAGTTCATCATTGGCCAGGCGCGGTGGCTGACGCCTGTAACCCCAGCACTTTGGGAAGCCGAGATGGGCGGATCACTTGATGTCTGTTCAAGTCCAGCCTGACCAACATGGTGAAACCCCGTCTCTACTAAAAATACAAAAATTAACCGAGCATGGTGGCAGGCGCCTGTAATCCCAGCTACTTGGGAGGCTGAGGCAGGAGAATTACTTGAACCCAAGTTCATCATTGAGAGAACCGAAAATCAAACCCTTGTCTGAATGACTTCAGCGCTCAGAACACTGTCCCACACCCAGTGTTTGCCTTGTGTCTGTTCATTCCATAAACATCCATGAGTACAAATCTTCCTCGAAAACATGATAAATCGCCCTTTCATCAGTGCAATGAGGATGGGACTCAAAGGAATAAGAAGGAAAGAGCTATATAAAGCTGTCTGAAAGTCAGGGCCCCATTCCGACGCTATAATTCGGTTTGGCTTCAACTGCGGCGCTCCTACAGTTGGGTTAACGAGTTACCTATACTGCGAAACTGTACCCCACCCCTCCTACCAGAGTAGTAAAAAATACGTTCTTGTGTTCTAACAATTTTACAAGCGTAAAACTGGGGGGAGGGGCCGGGCGCGGTGGCTCACGCCTGTAATCCCAGCACTTTGGGAGGCCGAGGTGGGCGGATCACGAGGTCAGGAGATCGAGACCATCCTGGCTAACATGGTGAAACCCCGTCTCTACTAAAAATACAAAAAATTAGCCGGGCGTGGTGGTGGGCGCCTGTAGTCCCAGCTACTCGGGAGGCTGAGGCAGGAGAATGGCGTGAACCTGGGAGGCGGAGCTTGCAGTGAGCCGAGATCGCGCCACTGCACTCCAGCCTGGGCGACAGAGCGAGACTCAGTCTCAAAAAAAAAAAAAAAAAAAAAAAAAAAAAAAAAAATTGGGGTGAGGGCGGGGAATTAACGTTTCTCAAATATACAAGGAAGCCCAGACTCAGAATGTAGACTCAGAGCAGGGAGGGGACCTTTTAGCCCAGCCTTTTCACGCCAGGACAGCTCGCCTGCCAGGCAGTTCTCCACCCTCTCTCGCCCCGCCCCGCTCCTAACGGGACAGTCAGCATCCCCCCTGATTGGACAGCACTGTTCCAGGGGACAAGTCAACCTGGGCCTCCCTCTACATCCCCTCCCCTGCTCATCAGGGCCCACCCCGAGCCACACGGCGGAGCCCTGAATTGGGCCAAAGAGGTGCCCTATGGTGAGGCCTGCAGGACATTGGGCGAGAGCCGGGTCCAGTGTGGGCCTCGGGGCGCGGTGGGGTGGAAAGCGGCCGGGGAGGGGAGGCCTGGGGCAGGAGGCCGGGGGAGGCGGCCCTGGGGGTGGGCAGGATGCTCTCCCGGAGTCCCACGCCGCCGCGCGGCTCTCACCAGACGCCGTCAGAGGCTCCCTCCCACGCCGCCACCGCGCTCCTCGGGCGAGGGACGAACCAAGCGCCACGAAGCAGGCAGAGCGCGAGCCTGCCCCTCGGTTTCCGCGCTCGGGCGCGCGGGTAGACGACTCGTCGCTCGACCTTGTCCCCACTCCTCGCTCGCCCAGCCACGCCCACCCGGAGTGCCGAATCCGCGATCGCGCCCTGACGCCACCCGAGAGAGCTCGCGTGATTGGCTGCTCCCGTCCCCGTCCCCCACCTTCCCGGCGGTATTTTGAGGCGCAGGCAGGGTGCTGACCAGCGGACCATCTTCCATGGCCTCTGCCGCGCTGGAGCTGCTGCGGGGCTGTCCTGCCAGCTTGTGCTCCCGCCCCGAAGCGTCCTCCTCCACTGGCGACACACGCACTGAAGCCCGAGTCTTCCCGCTGGGTAGTTGTTTTGGTCTTGCACCCAAGGAGGGATTTCTTGCGCCTCTTGTTCCCTCAGTTATTTCATAAACCAGGACCGCAACTATACTGTCGTGTAGCGCGGCCACCCCACAGCGGTCCCTGACGTTAACCCTTGCCGTGACTGCTAGAAGACACTGGTGGAGTGTGAATTGATGACCAAGGCATGGCAGAGCCTCTCTCATCTTTATAATCAGTTCAGCGGCGGCCTCCACTACAGGGAACTCCCAGCCAGTCCCGAGGCCTAGGGACATCCAGGGAGAAACGTGGCGGTGGTAAAGGGCTTGCGCAGCTCCTGAAGATAAATAAGACTTTGGGTTGCTGTTGTTTTTGAGACAAGGGTCTCACTATGTTGTCCAGGCAGCACTCGAGCTCCTGGCCTCAAGCCATCTTTTCTGGCTTCAGCCTTCTGAGTAGCTGGGACTACAGGACCATGCCACCGAATCAGGCTTTAAGACTTTTTAATGACCCTTTCAAATTTCTGAGTCACTCCCAGCATTTTAGGAAGCCAAGTGAGAAGGCTAGCTTGAGGCCAGGAGTTCGAGACCAACCTGGGCAACAGATTCCTGAGTCACCATTGACAAGAAACTTTGAATGAAGTTGATGATACAAAATATTAACATCTTTTTTTTTTTACAACCATTAAAAATTTACCACAGGTGAAACTAAGTCTAACAGTTCATTGAGATTTCTTGCTGTACAGCAAATTTCAAATCTCATCAAACTGCAGTTTGTGATGCATTTCAATTAATAATGAAGCTCTAATTTGTAAAATACTTATGAACTCTTAGTTCTCCTGTGGCTAGCTTGGAGCCACGAAAAGGTCACATTAGCCACAAAAGAAAAGACATTAAGGGATTTTTGCAAGGAAGTGCTATCAGATTTCTTTTTTGTTTGTTTGTTTGTTTTTGAGACAGGGTCCCACTCTATCGCCCAGGCTGGAGTACAGTGGTACGATCTCAGCTCACTGAAACCTCCACCTCCCAGGTTCAAGCAATTCTCCTGCCTTAGCCTCCCGAGTAGCTGGGATTACAGGCACACACCACCATGCCCGGCTAATTTTTGTATTTTTAGTAGAGACGGGGGTTTCACCATGTTGGCCAGACTGGTCTCAAACTCCCGACCTTAGGTGATCCGCCCACTTTGGCCTCCCAAAGTGCTAGGATTACAGACATGAGCCACCACACCAGGCCCAGATTTCTTTTTTAAATCACACTGGCTGCTCTGTGGAGAATGGATTGGTAGCAGTGAAACTCAACTGAAGTGGATGGATATGATGTTTATTTTGGAAGTAAAATTGATGAGACTTAATTATAGGTTAGATATAAGGGGATGACAGGGAAAAAGACTCAAGAATGACCTCCGGGCCAGGTGTGGTGGCTCACACCTGCAGTCCCAGCACTTTGGAAGGCAGAGGTGGGAGGATCGCTTGTGCTCAGGAGTTCCAGGCAACAGTGAGCTCGATCAAACCACTGCACTCCAGCCTGGGTGCTGGATCGAGACCTCATCTCTTAAAAAAAAAAAAAAAAAGAAAGAAAGAAAGAAATGACTTCCAGGTTTCTGCCATTAGGAATTGGGTGGTTGGTTGTGTGCTAAGATGAGAAAGGCTGGGAGAGTGACCTGGTTTGGGAAGAAAAAAGTAAAGTTTTAATTTAGGGCATGTTATGATTGAGATGCCTGTGAGCCACATGAAGCTATTAAATGTGCAGTGAGATATATGAATCTGAAGACAGACTCACCAGACTATAAATGGTGTATTAGTTTCACATATGCTGTAACAAATTACCACAAAATTAGGGTCTTTAAAACAACACAAATTGGCCAGGCGCGGTGGCTCACGCCTGTAATCCTAGCACTTTGGGAGGCCGAGGCGGGCGGATCACAAGGTGAGGAGATCGAGACCATCCTGGCTAACATGGTGAAACCCCATCTCTACTAAAAATACAAAACATTAGCCGGGCGTGGTGGCGGGCGCCTGTAGTCCCAGCTACTCGGGAGGCTGAGGCAGGAGAATGGCGTGAACCTGGGAGGCGGAGCTTGCAGTGAGCCGAGATCGCACCACTGCACTCCAGCCTGGGCAACAGAGCGAGACTCTATCTCAAAAAAAAAAAAAAAAAAAAAAAAAAAAAAAACCCACAAATGTATTATCCTACAGTTTTGGACGTTAAGGATCCAAAATGGGTTTCAAGGGACCAAAATCAAGGTGTCAGTTGGGTTGCCTTCCTACTGGAGGCTGCCAGGGAGAATTCATTTTCTTCCCCCTTCCAGATTCTAGAGGCTGCCCACATTCCTTGGCACATGGCACCTCTGACTTCTGCCTCCCTTGCCACATCTTTTGTGACTCTACTGCCTTCCTCTCTCACTTAAAAAGACCCCGGTGATTACATTGGGTCCACTCAATAGTCCAAGATAATTTTCCCTCTCAAAGTCCTGGTCACATCTGCAAAGTCCCTCTTGCCAAGTAAGGAAACATGGTCACAGGTTCAGGGATTAAGATGTGGATATCTAGGCCAGGCACGGTGGCTCACTCCTGTAATCCCAGCACTTTGGGAGGCTGAGGTGGGCGGATCACGACGTCAGGAGATCGAGACCAGCCTGGCCAACATGGTGACACCCCGTCTCTACTAAAGCAAAATTAGCCGGGGATGGTGGCGCACGCCTGTAGTCCCGGCTACTTGGGAGGCCGAGGCAGGAGAATAAATGGAACCCAGGAGGCAGAGGTTGCAGTGAGCCGAGATCGTGCCACTGCACTCCAGCCTGGGCGACAGAGTGAGACTCCGTCTCAAAAAAAAAAAAAAAAAGATGTGGATATCTTTGGGGAGCTATTTATTCTGCCTACCACAAGAGGTATTGAAAGTCACTTGAAGTCAGGTCAGGCGTGGTGGCTCAAGCTTGTAATCCCAGCACTTTGGGAGGCCGAGGCGGGTGGATCACGAGGTCAGGAGATCAAGACCATCCTGGCGAACACTTGTGAAAACCCGTCTCTACTAAAAATACAAAAAAAATTAGCCGAGTGTGGTGGCAGGCGCCTGTAGTCCCAGCTACGCGGGAGGCTGAGGCAGGAGAATGGCGTGAACCCGGGAGGCGGAGCTTGCAGTGAGCGGAGATCGCGCCACTGCACTCCAGCCTGGGCAACAGAGCGAGACTCAATCTCAAAAAAAAAAAAAAAAGAAAGTCACTTGAAGTCAAGATGGGTATGTTGCTTTTAAAGTTACATAGTGTACCTCCAAATATGCAGAATAGAACGTTAAATTTTTCTTCCTGAAAGGTAAGAAAAATTAACTTCAAAAACAATTTAAAATCTGGGTGCTGATTACATAGGTGTGTTTAGTTTGTAAAAACTCAAATTATATACGTAATATATATGTACCTTTTATGTGTATTTTACTGTAATGTGTTTTAAAAATAATGCTTAATATAGCTAGAAAAATATAACTATAAATATAAATACCTTTAACGGTAGGGAATACATTTTGAGAATTGTATGCACTTTCTAAGCCACCTGCAAGTTTTGTGTTTGACCAACACTGAGAATTTTATATTTCCATAATCATTTAACCTTAAATGAAATAATCTTTTTAGAATTTTCTTCTCTGCTTTCTTGAGATCAAATTGCAGCAAGGACCCTTAGGAGGCATTTTCTCTTGGCTTTTTGAGATCACTTTCCTATGGGTAAATAATATTACATTTCTGGATTTCTGTTACTTTACTGTTTAACATTGTGAATTGACATACCAAAAATCGTCACTAGTTAAGTTTGGTTTGTATGATTTGGTTTCATTTGACTTTAGTCTGAGAACTCTACAAGTTGCAAAAAAATTACTTATGGCTTTGTAGTATAATAAAATCAGATTTTTCTAGAGATTACTCCATAAGCATAAATATAACTTCAAGCATTCAGGGCATAACTAGGCTATCAATGACTCCTAGGCTTTAAGAGATCCTCTAATCTAACCTTCTCATCAGAGTGGGAGACCTTCCTACAGCACCCCTGACAGATGCTTATCTGGCCACTTTGGGAACATTTCTTGTAACAGACTTGTCTTATTTTATTTGGTGATTTAATTATTTTAAAGTACTCTGCCTCTCTGTAAATTCTACCCGTGTATTTCGTAGCCTAAACATTTCTAAACTAAAATAGCCTAAACTATTCTAAACATTGTATCTATATTCATCAGTACTCATAACAACATTAAGATGTAAATTCTGTATATACCCCCTACTTTACAGACAAAAAGACCAAAATACAGAAGGCGAAGTTGCCTGAGGTTGCACAGCTGTTAAACAGAAGAGCCCAGCCCTTGATCCCACTTGCTTAGCTACTACCACCCAGTGTTTCCTCTCTATACTAACTAGAGCATTGCACTTTATAACAGAAACCTATCTCAAGGTTCATCTCAGCCATCACTTTTTTTTTTTTTTGAGACAGGGTTTCACTCTTGCCCAGGCTGGAGTGCAATGGCGTCATCTCGGCTCACTGCAACCTCTGCCTCCCGGGTTCAAGCAATTCTCCTGCCTCAGCCTCCCGAGGAGCTGGGATTACAGACATGTGTCACCGCGCCCGGCTAATTTTTGTATTTTTAGTAGAGATGGGGTTTCACCATGTTGGCCAGGCTGGTCTCAAAATTCTGACCTCAAATGATCTGCCCGCCTCGGCCAGGGCCCGGATTACAGGTATGAGCCACCGCGCCCGACCTACAGTCATCATTTTTTGGTTAAGTTGTTCCATTAGTTAAGAGTTCACATAACTCTTCTATTATCCAGCCCACATCTCTCTGAATGGCTCACATCAAGGTCTTAAGAGATTTTAAAAGACATCTTCTTTAAAATCAAGGTCTAATCTCTATGGCATTCTCCTGATGTATTAGTTTAGTGAGGCTTTCAAAAAAGAAAAGGACATTATTTGGCACAAATTTTTCCTAAAGTTTTTATTGAAGTGTTAATAAATACCTAAGCAGCACAGTTGAATTTCAAATTTTCATAAAGTAAAAACCGTCACTAAATGAAAGAGAGAAAATATCACCTGTGCCCATAGGCTGCCTCCTCAAGAGCTGCCTATTCATGACCCATGAAAAAACCTGGCACCAAGCCTGTGGCTAGCTAATAGTGACAATGGTAATTAGCTAATGTGCATGTTAAAGTAGCTCTCTGAAACATCTGGACTGGGGAATACGGAGAGGACTGGCCAGTTGGAAATGAAAGGAAAATGGGGCACCTTAAAAACATAGTCACAGATAGCTGTGAGAGGTAGCACAGGGAGGCCATAGGGAGAGAATCCAGGCCCTGACTTGACTTGAATCCTGAACAACTTTCTGATTTTAATCTACATGTATCCTTAAATCATCTTTTTATTTATTTATTTATTTTATTATGTTTTTTTTGGAGACAGAGTCTCACTCTGTCACCCAGGCTTGAGTGCAGTGGTGCTATCTTGGCTCACTGCAACCTCCACCTCCCAGGTTCAAGTAATTTTTGTGCCTCAGCTTCCCAAGTAATTGGGACTACAGGCAGGCACCACGATGCCCGGCTAAGTTTTTTTGTATTTTTTATAGAGATGGGGTTTCGTCATGTTGCCAGGATGGTCTCCAACTCCTGAGCTCAGGCAATCCGCCTGCCTTGGCCTACCAAAATGCTAGGATTACAGGCATGAGCCACCGTGCCTGGCCTAAATCCTCTTTTTAAAAAAGATGCCCTGTTCCTTGCATTCAGAAGATACTAACAGTAAAACTGTGAGCCAGGGAGAATCCCCAACCTTATTTCGATCCCCACTTCCAACCGATTGATGGTGGCTGCCTGGAGAACTGTGTCAAAAATGACTCTGGGGCTAGAGTTTACTGGAAAAGAGTATGTACTGTTGAGAGACAGGACTAGCTGGATTTCCTAGGCCGACTAAGAATCCCTAGGCCTAGTTAGGAAGGTGACCGCATCCACCTTTAAACATGGGGCTTGCAACTTAGCTCACACCCGACCAATCAGGTAGTAAAGAGAGCTCACTAAAATGCCAATCAGACAAAAACAGGAGGTAAAGAACTAACCAATCATCTATTGCCTGAGAGCACAGTGGGAGGGACAATGATCAGGATATAAAGCCAGGCATTCCAGCCGGCAACGGCTACCCTCTTTGGCTCCCCTCCCTTTGTATGGGAGCTGTGTTTTCACTCTATTAAATCTTGTAACTGCATACTCTTCTGGTCCGTGTTTGTACCGTGTTTGTTACCGCTCAAGCTAAGCTTTCGCTCGTTGTCCACCACTGCTGTTTGCCGCAGTCGCAGACCCGCCGCTGACTTCCACCCCTCCGGATCTGGCAGGGTGTCTGCTGTGCTCCTGATCCAGCGAGGCGCCCACTGCTGCTCCCGATCGGGCTGAAGGCTTGCCGTTGTTCCTGCACGGCAAGTGCCTGGGTTCGTCCTAATTGAGATGAACACTAGTCGCTGGGTTCTACGGTTCTCTTCCATGACCCACGTCTTCCAATAGAGCTATAACATTCACCGCATGGCCCAAGATTCCATTCCTTGGAATCCGTGGGGCCAAGAACCCCAGGTCAGAGAACGAGAGGCTTGCTGCCATCTTGGAAGCAACCCGCCACCATGTTGGGAGCTCTGGGAGCAAGGACCCCCGGTAACATTGTGATGTCTGCCATGTTGTTTTCTAGGGAGATGGAAGGGAGTCAAGGATGTTGCCATGTATGTGCCATCTCTGCCCTAAGCCAATATCATGAAGAAATCAACAAGAGGTGGAATAAACTGAGCAATTCATCACCATATTAAGCTGGATATTCCTGTTTAGTAAATATCTTTCCCTAGCTGGTAAGTATCTCACCCCATACTGTATCTCAGCCACAACACTTTTAATTACCAGAGTCTCTAGGGCAGCGGTCCCCAGTCTTTTTGGCACCAGGGACTGGTTTCCTGGAAGACAGTTTTTCCATGGGAAGTGGGGGTGGGGATGGTTTCAGGATGAAACTGTTCTACCTGAGATCATCAGGCATTAAATTCTCATAAGGAGCGTTCAACCTAGGTCCCTAGCATGCGCCGTTCACAATAGGATTTGTGCTTCTATGAGAATCTGATGCCACCACTGTTCTGACAGGAGGAGGAATGTAGACGGTAATGCTTGCTTGCCTGCCATTTATCTCCTATTATGCGGCCCAGTTATTTTTTTATTTTATTTTATTTTTTTGAGACGGAGTCTCACTCTGTCACCCAGGCTGGAGTGCAGTGGCGCAATCTTGGCTTCTTGGCTCACTGTAAGCTCCACCTCCCGAGTTCAAGTGATTCTCCTGCCTCAGCCTCCCGAGTAGCTGGGATTACAGGCATGCGGTCTGGCTAATTTTTGTATTTTTAGTAGAGACGGGGTTTCATCATGTTGGCCAGGCTGGTCGAGAACTCCTGACCTCAAGTGATCCACCCACCTCAGCCTCCCAAAGTGTTGCGATTACAGGCATAAGCCACCGCGCCCGACCTGGCCTGCGGCCCAGTTCTTAACAAGACACTGGCCAGTACCAGTCCATGGCCCAGGGGTTGGGGACCCCCTACTCTAGAGTATACAGAGGTAAAACACACCTTACAAACCAGATATCACTGCATACGCCAGATTGTTTATAGCCTCCCCAGAAAAGAAAATTGCTCCTGTTGCAGAATAGCCTTATGAGGCTACACTACATGGGGAAAGCAATTCTTTTCTCCCAGGAAAAGCATGTAAGGATTAAGATTATATTGGCTGAGGCCAGGAGTAGTGGCTCATGCCTGTAATCCCAGCAGTTTGGGAGGCCGAGGCAGGTGGATCACCTGAGGTCAGGACTTTGAGACCAGCCTGGTCAACACGGTGAAATCCCGTCTCTACTAAAAATACAAAAATTAGGCTGGGTGCGGTGGCTCACGCCTGTAATCCCAGCACTTTGGGAGGCCGAGGCAGGCGGATCACAAGGTCAGGAGATCGAGACCATCCTGGCTAACACAGTGAAACCCCGTCTCTACTAAAAGTACAAAAAATTAGCCGGGCGTGGTGGCGGGCGCCTGTAGTCCCAGCTACTCGGGAGGCTGAGGCAGGAGAATGGGGTGAACCCGGGAGGCGGAGCTTGCAGTGAGCCGAGATGGCGCCAGCCTGGGTGACAAAGTAAGACTCCGTCTCAAAAAAAAAAAATACAAAAATTAACCGGGTGGTGGCCCCCGCCTGTAATCTCAGCTACTCGGGAGGCTGAGGCAGGATAATTGCTTGAACCTGGGAGGCGAAGGTTACACTGAGCCGAGATCGTGCCACTGCATTGCAGCCTGGGCAACAGAGTGAGACTCAGTCTCAAAAAAAGAGATTATATTGGCTGAAAATAATTCAGCAATATCCTAAACTGTATCAGCTTAAGCTTTGCAAGAGCATAACATTGAAAGATACTTACAAATGTACTGATTAAGATACTTATAACTGGAAGATAATCTTTTTGAAATTTATATTTCAGGACCATTTAATCACTATTTGTAGCCCCAATTACGAATCAGTTTATCATGCCGACCAGTCAGCTTTTTAGAGCACCTGTGGTGGTGAGCCATCCCTATGCTCCTTTGCCAATCATAGAAGAAAGGTACAAATTAACATAATGACTTTGTTTTTGTGAAATATTGCCTTTTCTCAGGATTTTAAAATATATTTTTTGGCTGAGTGCGGTGGCTCATGCCTGTAATCCCAACACTTTGGGAGGCCGAGGCAGGTGGATCACCTGAGGTCAGGAGTTTGAGACCAGCCTGGCCAACATGGTGAAACCCCATCTCTACTAAAATACGAAAATTAGTCAGGCGTGGTGGCAGGTGCCTGTAATCCTAGCTACTCGGGAAGCTTATGCATGAGAATCGCTTGAATGCAGGAGGCAGAGGTTGCAGTGAGCTGAGATCACACCACTGCACTCCAGCCTGGGTGACAGAGTGAGACTGTCTCAAACAAACAAACAAACAAACAAAATATATATATATATGAACATTACATATATATATTTTTCTTTATGGGCTATGAAAGTATCATACTGTAGCTTTGTGCAGTGGCAGTATCGTAGCCAATGAGGTTTATCCAAGGTGCGATTATTGCTAATTGAAAGTATCATACTGTAAACCAGGCTGAGTGCAGTGGCTCATGCCTGTCTTCCCAACACTTTTGTGATCATTTGAGTCTAGGAGTTCGAGACCAGCCTAGGCAACATGGCAAGACCCTGTCTCTACAAAAAATATTTAAAAAATTTAGCTGGGCATGGTGGTGCTTGCCTGTAGTCCCAGCTACCCAGGAAGCTGAAGCGGGAGGATCGCCTGAGCCTGGGAGGTCCAGGCCGCAGTGAGTCATGATCACACCACTGCACTCCAGCCTGGGCAACAGAGTGAGACCCCATCTCAAAAAAAAAAGTATCATATTGTAAACCAATAAATTATTTCTTATCTGGCTGCTTGGGAAATGAAGTGAGTCAGAGAATGCTCAGTCATCCCTGACTAATAGAAATTCAGAAAGTTAAATTGGCACAGCCATTCCAGAAGAACTGGAAATGTGTTAAAAACTAGTTTGCCTTTAACTTTGACTCTCTTATAAAATGTTGGATCAACACAATTATGCTCTAAACTTCTCATTAAAAGTTATGTGGGAAGCTGGGTGTGGTGGTTCATACCTATAATCCTAGCACTTTAGGAGGCTGAGTCGGGTGGATTGCTTTAGCCCAGGAGTTCAAGACCAGCATGGGCAATATGGTGAAACCCAATGTCTACAAAAAATACAGAAAATTAGCTGGGTATCGTGGCATGCACCTGGAGTAACTAGCTACTCGGGAGGCTGAGGTGGGAGGATCACCTGAGCCTGGGAGGCTGAGGCTGCAGTGAGCCATGATCATGCCACTGCATCTCAGCCTGGGGGACAGAGTGAGACCCCCATCTCAAAAACAAACAAAGGTATGTGGGAAGTATGTTCTTCTGGACTTTAAAGGAACTAGCTAAGATCAACAGCACTGAATATCAGTAACACGCTTCTGGGGAAATTTTATTATTTCCCAACGTAAGCTAAGGAAACAGCCAAGGTACTGGTCCAGAACTCCTGGAACTGAAGAATAGCCCACAGGCCGGGCGTGGTGGCTCATACCTATTATCCCAGCACTTTGGGAGGCCAAAGTGGGTGGATTACCTGAGGTCAGGAGTTCAAGACCAGCCTGGCCAACATGGCGAAACCCTATCTCTACTAAAAATATAAAAATTAGCTGGGTGTGGTGCTGTGTGCCTGTAATCCCAGCTACTTGGGAGGCTGAGACAGGAGAATCGCTTGAACCTGGAAGTCGGAGGTTGCAGTGAGCCAAGTTCTTGCCACTGCACTCCAGCCTGGGCAACAGAGCGAGACTCCGTCTCAAAAAAAAAAAAAAAAGCCTAAGCATGAACATAAGGCCTCAACCTCTCTCTCTCCTCATGTTTTTCATGCCCCTACTCTGGAATGAATATAATTCTACCTTTCAAATTATTTGTTTTTTGTCCCTACTCCTCCTCTTGCCCCTTAACATGAACACTCTCTTATGATTAGCTCCTGCCCCTGCCCCTCTGCGTACTCATTCTTTCAGAAATTGGCTCACTCTCAAGCCTTCCATTATCACTTCCATGTAGGTAATTCCTAGGATACATACTCCAGCCTGGCCTTTCTTCCCAGCTTGAGGCCCCTATGTTCAATTGCCTACTAGATAGTTCCTCACTTCAAACTCAATATATGAAAGTTCATTTTATCCTGTTGACTTTGCTATTTCTTTTAATGGTACTAACTTGACACTTTCATTCAGACTCAAAATCATGGAGTCATATTTTAATCTTCGCTCTCTCTGACTTTAACATTCAATCTTTCAAATAATTCAAAATGTTATCTCAGTTTATGTTGTTGGGTTTTCTTTCTTCTTTCTTTTTTTTTTTTTTTGAGACGGAGTCTCGCTCTGTCGCCCAGGCTGGAGTGCAGTGGTGTGATCTTAGCTCACTGCAACCTCTGCTTCCCAGGTTCAAGCGATTCTCCTGCCTCAGCTTCCTGAGTATCTGGGATTACAGGCGCCCACCACCACACCCAGCTAATTTTTGTATTTTTAGTAGAGACGGGGTTTCACCATATTGGCCAGGCTGGTCTTGAACTCCTGACCTCAGGTGATCCGCCCATCTTGGCCTCCCAAAGTGTTGGGATTACAGGCGTGAGCCACCGCGCCCGGCCGGTTGTTGGGTTTTCTTAGAGACAGGGTCTTGCTCTCTAGCCCAGCTTGTAGTGCAGTGGTATGGTTGTGGCTCACTGCAGCCTCAAAATCCTGGGCTCAAGCGATCCTGTGACCCCAGCATCCCAAGTAGCTGGGACTTAAAGCACATGCCACCATGCCTAGCTAATTTATCAAAACTTTTGTAGAGACAGGGTTTTGCTTTGTTGCCCAGGCTGGTATCGAACTCCTGGCCTCAAGTGATCCTCCTGCCTCTGCCTTCCAAAGTGTTGGTATTACAGACATAAGCCACTGCACCTGGCCTTAGTTCAGATCTTATCATCTTATTTCCTTAATTCTGAGATGCTTTTTTTAAATGATTTTATATACCTAAAATCAATATTTATAATCAATGTAAATATTTAATGTAGAGTTTTTTATTATACAAACTATTATATCAATAGTGTTTTAGAATCAAGAAAATCGGGCATCAAAGCCCACTATTAACCTGGGTGCAGTAGTGCATGCACGCCTGTAATCCCAGCTACTTGGGAGGCTGAGACAGGAGGATTTCTTTCTTTTTTTTTTTTTTTTTTTGAGACGGAGTCTCGCTCTTTCGCCCAGGCCGTACTGCAGTGGCACGATCTCGGCTCACTGCAAGCTCCGCCTCCTGGGTTCACACCATTCTCCTACCTCAGCCTCCCGAGTAGCTGGGACTGCAGGCGCCCGCCACCGCGCCCGGCTAATGTTTTGTATTTTTAGTAGAGACGGGGTTTCACCATGTTAGCCAGGATGGTCTCGATCTCCTGACCTCGTGATCCGCCCACCTCAGCCTCCCAAAGTGCTGGGATTACAGGCGTGAGCCACCACGCCCGGCCTGACAGGAGGATTTCTTGAGCCCAGGAGTTTGAGTCCAGCCTGGGCAACATTGTAAGGCCCCATCTCTTAATAATAAAATAAATAAGTGGAATTAACAAAGACCTGGATTACTCTATTTCTTCTTGTCCTTCCTGCCTGCATTCCCTCGCTCCTTTCATCTATCTTGCACATTATTGCCTGATTAAATCTTCTTAAAAGGCTGCTTTCATCTCGTTAAGACTTTAAGAAAAACTTCAGTGGTCCCCCATTCCCTGCTAGATAAAGTATGCCTAGGGGAACAAGTTTGTCATTTAAGGTCCTCCACAATTTAAGGGTCCTGACCTTTTGCTGATCTTACCAACATTATTCCCCTCCCGGATCCTTCTGCCCCAAAGAGTTCTTTCTCTACCTTTGTATCATTCCTCAAAGTTAGAAGGCTCTTCCTTGTCTGCTGCTTACACCCAATCAGGTTTCAAACGCCATCTCTATTGTGAAACCTAATATGAACACCCTATCCCAAAATAATCTGTTCCTTCTCTGAATTCCCGGAGCACTTGTCTTTACTCATCTCAAACTTTTTGTTTCATTTTGTTTTGAGACCGAGTCTCGCTCTGTTGCCCAGGCTGGAGTGCAGTGGCACGATCTCAGCTCACTGAAACCTCCACCTCCCGGGTTCAAGCGATTCTCCTGCCTCAGCCTCCCAAGTAGCTGGGACTACAGGCGCCTGCCATCACACCTGGCTAATTTCTGTATTTTTACTAGAGACGGGGTTTCACCATGTTGTCTAGGCTAGTCTCGAACTCCTGACCTCAGGTGATCTGCCTGCCTCGGCCTCCCAAAGTGCTGGGATTACAGGCGTGAGCCACCATGCCTGACCTCAAACTTATTATTAGTTATACTTATGATGAATTACCTGGTATCTTTGAATGTATATGTTTGTGACTGTAATATTAGACATCTGATGTATTATAAGGAACCCGAGAAAAATCAGTCATATTAGTCACCTCACTATATATGACCTACGTTTTTAAAATCAGATCATAAATTCCTTGAAGTTAGCCCTGTTTGGTATGCTTGTCTCCCTCATAGTTCCTTGAATCATACCTTAGGTGAGAAACACAGTCAATAAACATTCAGTCAAAGGAGGATCACATCTTCTACCAAAGATTCCTAGCCATCCTTGTTCTTTTCTCTCTGGCTAGGCCAAATTGCTTCTACTCAACTGCCTGCACCGGTCATCCTCCACCATCTAGGCTCACGATCGTAGTAACACAACACTCTTGCTCAATCTTTATAATAAGTCAAGCATAAAACAGCATGGTGAATTTAAAAACAAGGTGGGAAATTTGGCGGTCTTATGAGATAGATGTGTGGAGGCAGAAAGTAACTGGGAGATGCAGACAAGATGTGAGCAAGGTCAGTTCAGCAAGGGCCTTGCATGATGTTATGCTAAGGAGGTTAGACTTTCCCTCACTATAATCGGGAGAGTTTTTAATTAGGGAAATGGCATGATCAGATTTGCTTAATTAGAGCTACAGAAGATGGCTGGGTGTGGTGGCTCAAGCCTGTAATCCCAGCACTTTGGGAGGCCGAGGCAGGTGGATCACAAGTTCAGGAGATCGAGACCATCCTGGCTAACACAGTGAAACCCTGTCTCTACTAAAAATACAAAAAATTATCTGGGCGTGGTGGCGGGCCCCTGTAGTCCCAGCTACTAGGGAGGCTGAGGCAGGAGAATGGTGTGAACCCGGGAGGCGGAGCTTGCAGTGAGCCAAGATCGCGCCATTGCACTCCAGCCTGGGCGACAGAGCGAGACTCCGCCTCAAAAAAAAAAAAAAAAAAAAAAAAAGAACTACAGAAGATGGATTGGGAAGAGGAGGAAGGACTGGAAGAAGGGAAACCAGTTAGGAATAATATTTCAGGACCTCAACTAAAGTGGTAATAATGGAAATAGAGAATGAGAGGATTGGAATCATAAGAATGTGGAGAAGGGGCCGGGCCCAGTGGCTCACATCTGTAAGCCCAGCACTTTGGGAGGCCAAGGCGGGTAGATCACCTGAGGTCAGGAGTTCAAGACCAGCCTGGCCAACGTGGTGGTGAAACCTCATCTAGTAAAAATACAAAAAAAAAAAAAAAAAAAAAGCTGGGCATGGTGGCGTGCGCCTGTAGTCCCAGCTACTCAGGAGGCTGAGGCAGGAGAATTGCTTGAGTGCAGGAGGTGGAGGTTGCAGTGAGCCAAGATTGCACCACTGCACTTAGAGAAGCAGGTTTGGAGATGGGCTGGAGTAGGTGAGAAGATAATGAGCTTTAATTTTGGATATGTTGAATTTGTAGCACCTACAGAACATTTCCATGAGATTGAGGATCTGGAGGAAGATATACATTGGAGACACAAATTTGTGCTAGACATTATGCACTCCATAAATTTTTTTTTTTTTTGAGACAATGTCTCACTCTGTGGCTCAGGCAGAGTGCAGTGGTGCGATCTCGGCTCACTGCAACCTCCGCCTCCTGGGTTCAAGCAATTCTTCTGCCTCAGCCTCCCAAATAGCTGGGACTACAGGCACCCGCCACCACACCCAGCTAATTTTTGTATTTTTAGTAGAGACGGGGTTTCGACATGTTGGCCAGGCTGGTCTCGAACTCCTGATCTCAGATGATCCACCCACCTCAGCCTCCCAAAGTGCTAGGATTACAGGCATGAGCCACTGCGCCTGGCCACACTCCATAAACTTTACGTGTTTTGAAATACACTGTTTACTCTTAGCCCAAAGCACCCAATGACATTTCTTACCCTACCTGTTTCACCAGATTTTTCTGCCCCTGACTCTGTTCTACTGTCACTCTTGGCCAATTTGGAACTCTTTTTTTTTTTTTTTGAGACAGAGTCTCACTCTGTTGCCCAGGCTGGAGTGCAATGGTGTGATTTCGGCTTAGGTTCAGGTGATTCTCCTGCCTCAGCCTCCCGAGTAGCTGGAATTAC
Source organism: Homo sapiens (assembly GCF_000001405.40). NCBI lineage: Eukaryota > Metazoa > Chordata > Mammalia > Primates > Hominidae > Homo > Homo sapiens. The sequence continues at coordinate 36,273,780 of NC_000009.12, forward strand.
AGGCACCTGCCACCGCACCTGGCTAACTTTTGTAGTTTTGGTAGAGACAGCGTCTCACCATCTTGGCCAGGCTGGTCTTGAACTCCTGACGTCGATCCACCCGCCTCGGCCCCCCAAAGTGCTGGGATTACAGGTGTGAGCCATCGCGTCCGGCCAATTTGGAACTCTTTAATGGTATTTTTCACATAATAGCTGTCTAAATCTTAGACAACTGAATGACTGTTAGACATCACTAAATTTAATGGGGCATAAAATTCTGCGGAAACCCAGGTGCTTCGGTCTATGGTACTGTGTGTGTGTGTGTGTGTGTGTGTGTGTGTGTGTGTGTGTGTGTGTGACAGGGTCTTACTCTATCACCCAGGCTGGAGTGCAGTGGCAGGATCATGGCTCACTGCAGCCTCAACTTCCTAGGTTCAAGCTATCCTCTCCCCTCAGCCACCTGAGTAGCTAGGACTACAGGCATGTGCCACCATGTCCGGCTAATATTTGTAATTTTTTTAGAACTAGGGTCTCGCTATGTTGCCCAGGCTGATCTTGAACTCCTGGCCTCAAGCAATCCTCCTGCCTCAACCTACTGAAGTGCTGGGGTTAGAGATGTGAGCCATTGTGTCAGGCTCTTACACCTTTGTTAAATATTTAGCGGTGCTTTCCTGGCCACGTACCCTCTTTTTCCAACTGCCCATGTACCTAGTCTTCTCTGCCCTCTGGCTTCTCTTCTCTTAACCCCTTCTTTTTCACACTGTTGGTCACTGCCTTATTCTTGAGATATTTTACATCCTGGGCTTGCAAGACACCTGATTTCCTGCCTACTTCCAACTTCTCTGACTCATACTTTCTCAAACTCCTAAATAAAAGTATTTTCTAGAATTCTGTAGTCTTCCTTATATCTCATTTTAGTGTATCTCCAGCATGACTTCAACCACTTGCATGGTTTCACATTCTTTTTTTTTTTTTTTCTCTTGAGACGGAGTCTCGCTCTGTCGCCCAGGCTGGAGTGCCGTGGCGCGATCTCTGTTCACTGCAAGCTCCGCCTCCCGGGTTCACGCCATTCTCCTGCCTCAGCCTCCCGCGTAGCTGGGACTACAGGCACCCGCCATCATGCCCGGCTAATTTTTTTTGTATTTTTAGTAGAGACGGGGTTTCACTGTGTTAGCCAGGATGGTCTTGATCTCCTGACCTCGTGATCCGCCGGACTCGGCCTCCCAAAGTGCTGAGATTACAGGCGCGAGCCACCGCACCCGGCCGGTTTCACAATCATTTAAAATGATTCCTAGATGTGAATTTCTATCCCAGTCTTCTCAGTCCAAACCCAAATATTCAGCTACTTATAGGACATCTTTATTTGGATGTGTTCTACAAGCACTTCAAATCCGCTTGTCCAAAATTGAGCTTTCTTCTTCCTTATAAACCTGGGCTTTCTCTTCCGTCCTAATTCTCAGTGAATCGTATTATCACCTACTAGGATCTTAGGAGGCATTCTTGACCTCTGCACCTCCTTTCTGTCTCACATTCAGTGTGCCACAAAACCCTATCAGTTTTACATTTTAAAAGAGTATTTCCTGGAAGAGAGAACATGATGTGATTGAAGACAATAAAATGGGCATGAGAATAGCATACAGGGGAGACCAGCCTGACAGGAGAAAGGTTTTACTGAGGAATATTGGAAAAGATAATTGAATTATTAAGTGGCAGAGTAACTTGGAAGATAACTTAAAGGCCATATAGAGTATTTCAGAGCTTGTGTGGCCATAGAAACCACCAAACATTAGGCAAATGAATGAAATGATTATTTCAGGCCATATTTTTAAAGTCAGTTATACAAAAAAAATGGATGGAGAGATGAGTAGAACAACTATTACTTTCATAACTAGAAACAACCATTTCTAAGCAGATTTTATTGATGACACGAGGAAAAAAACTTACAAGTTCCAGCTAGAAGCTCAGAAAGTCTGACCTTGAATTTCAATTTAAGTGTGCTAATAAAAAATAAAAATAATAAATTCTCATTGAAGAAGGCAGATAGAAAGTATGCATTGGTGATACAGCTAGGAGTAAACTGTGTTGGCAATAATTGCAGGAATAATATCATCTGATTGAAAAGTTTTTATAAGGCCAGGTACAGGGGCTCAACGCCTGTAATCTCAGCACTTTGAAAGGCCAAGCCAGGAACATCACTTGAGCCCAGGAGTTCGAGATCAGCCTGGGCAGCGCAGCAAGACCTTGTCTCTACAAAAAATTTAAAAGTTTGCCGGGTATGGTAGTCTGTGTCTGTAGTCCTGACTACTTGGGAGGCTGAGGCAGGAGGATCCCTTGAGCCCAGGAGTTGAAAGCTGCAGTGAGCTATGATTATGCCACTACAATCCAGCCTGGGTGACAGAGCAAGATCCTGTCTTTAAACACACACACACACACACGTTTGTATAAGCCATTCCTTAACTATAGATGATCTTTAAATTGAATATATATTTTAATCACCTAATTGAACTGTGATGATGATTTCCTAAAACATTTGGATTTCCATATGCCTCAATGAAAAATTAGGTTTAATAAACTACACTATAGTATAGCACACTATATGTCGCATTTATATATTGATAAACATGATAATTTCCTTTTTATTTGACTTAGATACTAATTAACTTGGAGTAAATGCACCCACCCCAATCATGTGATCAGTCAATAGTTAAATAACTGAGGGAAAAGAAGTACAAATCAGGCAGCTCTACATGCCATGTTTCAAAAGGGAAGGAAACAAAATAGTTAAACTTTGCATGTTTTGGAAATAAACTGTATTTATGAAACAGAGATCTCAAAAAGTAAAAGGAACCCCACTTTATCTGATGAAAGTGCCAGGAATCTGGAGAAAAGAGTTCAATTTCAACTTTCAGTTTGGAGATGCAGAAAGACCCTGAATTTTGGCACAGTAACTGAGAAGCAAGTAGCAGCCACAGAATGACTAAACTGAGTTAGCAGTAAAAAAGTCTTTAAAAATGATGGATTTGATAGATTTAAAACCAAAGCTTTCCTCTTCCTCTTTGTAATTTTCCTTTTTCCCCCCTTTTTTTCTGATTGCAATTTCAATAATAAAGCTCTATTGAATTCCGAATTACTTACATGAGGTCCTTGAAAGCATGACTCCCTCTGCAGATAACCATAGGTTTCCATCCCGAAGCACGAGCTCTGTACCCTAGTGTGGTTTGAAATAATGAGCAGAGCAGCTGTTTTCTTGGTTTAGCTGCCACGGAGCAGTCACCAATAGGCATCTGAATTCCAGACTAAATCGTAAGCCCCACCTCTCTGAAAAGGAAGAAAAAAAATGTGGCTCTGAATTCTTCTCATATTCCTGGACAGTAGCTCGAAAGTAGGTGGTCAGTCAGCGTCTGAGTGTTACTTCCCTGTTTTGGATTTCCCATTCCATCCAATAATTTTACTTTCCACTAGAAAAAGTTTTCTTCTGAGTTTCTTAAAATCTACAAAAGTCTTTTTTGTAGTTCAAAAATCTACAAAAGTCTTTTTTCACATTGTTTTCACACATACGTAATTCTAATTCTAAACTTTTTTTTTCTATTCTTTTCTTTTTTTTTTTTTTTTTTTTTTTTTTTTTTTTGAGATGGAGTCTTGCTCGTGTCTTGCTTTTGGTGCTTAGGGACTCTCACAGCCAGATTGGTAGCAAGGGATACTGACCAATGATCTACTTATCAAACAACTCTCCATTTCACTGGTAAATGCTCATTTGACCACTGGAACAGCCTAGCCTTATCTACCACACAACTTCACATTCCACTCAAGAGAAACTATACTAAAAGGTATCCCCCACAGGCACAGAAATTCTTAGTTAACCATTGTATGTTTATAGATTTTGAAGTCAACCATGGTCTGAAGTCTATTTTATTTTATTTGAAAGAGACTGGGTCTCACTATGTTGCTCAGGCCCATCTCGAACTCCTGGGTTCAAGCAATCCTATCACCTCGGCCTCCCAAAGTGCTGGGAATACAGGTGTGAGCCACCATGCTAAAATAACTCATTTTTTTCTTATATTTTTCTTTATTTTTTTTTCTTCTTGAGACAGTGTCTTGCTCTTGTCGCCCAGGCTGGAGTGCAGTGGCACAATCTCAGCTCACTACAACCTTTGCCTCCAGGGTTCAAGCAATTCTCCAGCCTCAGCCTCCCGAGTAGCTGGGATTACAGGTGTGTGCCACCACGCCCAGCTAGTTTTTGTATTTTTTAGTAGAGACAGGGTTTTGCCATGTTGGCCAGGCTGGTCTTGAACTGTTGACCTCAGGTGATCCACCCGCCTTGGCCTCCCAGAGTGCTGGGATTACAGGCATGAGCCACCACTCCTGGCCCTTATATTTTTCAAATATGTTAAAGGTATACATAACCCTCAACAACATTTTTTGTTAAATCTCTGCTCTTTGCTCTTTCTTCCCATCTGTTTCCTCACATCCAGTCTGCTCTTTTTTCTCTCTTAACTAAAAACTCTGTTAAAAAAAAAAAAAAAAGTTGTCTTCTCCGCTTCCTCCGTCTTTATAGAGAGGCAGGAGAGAACACTTCTAAGTGTGCCAGGGCAGGACCTTCTTTTTTCAGGCAGATAAAGGAGTGGATCCATGGATAGTATTTTTTAGAGGTGGGGTCTTGCTGTATTGTCCAGGCTAGACCTGGACTCAAGTGATCCTCCTGCCTCAGCCTCCCAAGTAGCTGGAACTAAAAGTGTGCACCACTTGGCCAGTTTTCATGGATGATTGTTATGCTTTTTCACTTCCTCTTGGTTAATCTTGACAGACATCCCCTCCTCCCAATAAAAATATCCAGGCATGGTGGCTCACACCTATAGTCCCAGCACTTTGGAAGGCCAAGGCAGGTGGATCACTTGAGGCCAGGAATTCAAGACCAGCCTGGGCAACATATTTAGATACCCATCTCTACAAAAAGAATTTTTTTTTAATTAGCTGGTCTTGGTGGCACATGCTTATAGTCCCAGCTGCTCAGGAGGCTGAACTGGGAGGACTGCTTTGAGTCCAGGAGTTTGAGGCTGCAATGAACTGTGATCTTGCCACTGCTCTGCAGCCTGGGCCACACGGCAAGACACTGTCTCAAGAAATAAATAAACAAAAATATCCAGTATTTAATATACTGTCCATAGACTGCCTATAGGACCTCACTTGAGAGCTTACAAATCAGCAATGGGAGAGAAAAAGCTGTCCAATAGAAAAAATTGGCAGAATAGCACTAGGGAACTCAAAAAAATATATGATCAAAAGTCTGACCTTACTACCATTTTTTAAAATTGTTTTTTGTTTTTATTTATTTATTTTTGTTTATTTTTTTGAGACAGAGTATCACTCTGTCACCCAGGCTGGAGTAGAGTGGCACGATCTCAGCTCACTGCAACCCCCGCCTCCCAGGTTCAAGTGATTCTCCAGCCTCAGCCTCCCAAGTAGCTGGGATCACAGGCATGCACCACCACCCCAGCTAATTTTCGTATTTTTAGTAGAGACAGGGTTTCGCCATGTTGGCCAGGCTGGTCTCGAACTCCTGACCTCAGGTGATCCTCCCACTTCAGCCTCCCAAAGTGCTGGGATTACAGGCATGAGCCACCTTGCTCAGCCTGTTTTTTGTTTTTTTAAGACAGAGTCTTGCTCTGTCGCCCAGGCTGGAGCGCAATGGCACGATCTCGGCTCAGCAACCTCCACCTCCCGGTTTCAAGTAATTCTCGTGCTTCAGCCTCCTGAGTAACCGGGATTAAAGGAGCCCACCATCACGCCTGGTTAATTTTTGTATTTTTTGTAGAGATGAGGTTTTGCCATGTTGCTCAGGCTCCTGGGCTCAAGCAATCTGCCCTCCTTGGCCTCCCAAAGGGCTGAGATTACAGGCATGAGCCACTGTGCCCAGCCTGCTCAGTGAAATATTATCCTCTTTTTAATAAATAAGATGTTCTTCATTGTGCTTTATGGGAGCACATATAATTAAAATTTTGTATTGTAAATTCAATATTAGGGCTGATTTTTTTTTTTTTAAACGGAGGTCTTACTCTGTCGCCCAGGCTGGAGGGCAGTGACGCGTTATCTTGGTTCATCGCAACCTCCACCTCCTGGGTTCAAGTGATTCTCCTGCCTCAGCCTCCTGAGTAGCTGGGACTACAGGCACATGCCACCGTGCCCAGCTAATTTTTGTATTTTTAGTAGAGATGGAGTTTCACCATGTTGGCCAGGCTGGTCTTAAACTCCTGACCTCAAGTGATGCGCCTGCCTCAACCTCCCAAAGTGCTGGGATTAGAGGCGTGAGCCACCATGCCCAGAGACATTTTTATTTTTATTTAATTAATTAGCTTATTTTAAAATACAAAGATGAAGTCTCACTGTGTTGCCCAGGTTGGTCTCAAACTCCTGGGCTCAAGTGATCCTCCTGCCCTGACCTCCCAAAGAGCTGGGATTACAGGCGTGAGCTGCCATGCCCAGCCTGAGCTGTTATTTTTATTCTGTCCATTTGATAATCTATTTGAAAGCTATACTCCTTGTGATCCAATCCCTACATTGAGTTGAAGTTAAATAAACACTGGTCTTGCTCTGAGTCTTAAAGAACCATGTTGATGTTTACTGTAGATGTTTACTTTAATTGGGCTGCACAGGAGTTTTATTCAGAGCATCATCCAGAAAGCTTCTAAACATCTTCACACAGTTCTCCTTGTCCCTGTAGTTTCCCAGGTGTTAAAAATCTCCTTTTCTGTCCCTTTGCACAGGGTTCTCACCCCATCCTGATGCTCTTCTGAATCACCTCCTCCTTCATGCTTCTCCTAAACAGAGACTCATTCTGCAGGGATTCTGGTGAATACAATTCTCCATTGAGCTACACATCCTTAGAACAAATGTTTAATGAGCACCTACTGTAGGCTCTGCCATGAATAATCTTTCACATTTGGTTAGGCTTTTTTCTGTCTACAGAATTACTTTCATGTCCATTATTTAGAATAGGGGTCATCAAATCTTTTCTATAGAGGGCCAGATATTTTTGCAGGCCATGTCTCTGTCACAACTTCTCTGCTCTGCCCTTGTGGTACAAAAGCAGCCATACACGATGTATAAAGGAATGGAGATGGCTGTGTGCCTTTGAGACTTTTTTTTACAAAAACAGATAGTGGCCTGGAATTGGCCGCTGAGCTATAGTCTGTCCACTCCTGACTTAGAACAACTCAGTGAAGTGGAAGTTACCTGTCCTATTTTATAGACCAGGAAAGGAATTGAGGCTCAGAGAAATTAAGTGGTTTGCCTAAAGTCACACAAACAAGTTACAAGTGGCTGACCCAGATCTCAAACATGGGTCAAAAAATGTGACTGCAAAGTCACTGCTATTTTAACCACACCATACCGTCTGTCACTCATTCAGATAGCTTGTGTCAAGAGTGACAAGCTTCTTAACCTACGTGCCACATGTTTGAGGAAGAGTTAGGTAAATTTTGATGCATCCACAAATCGCTATGCAGTTAGTCAACATGATATTTACAATGTGAAATCATGGAGAAATATGAAATGATGTGAATCAAAAGGCTAAGCACAAGATCGCATATAGAGTTGTGCTTGTGTAAAGGAAAAAAATACATAAAGGACTTAAGGGAAGTATCTTAGAATATTAACAGTTGTTGCCTCCTTGTAGATGCGAGACTGATTTTTCTGTGTGCTTATTTCTACTTTTTGTATTTTGCACTTTTTTTTGTTTTGTTTTTCTGAGACGGAGTCTCGCTCTGTTGCCAGGCTGGAGTGCAGTGGCGCAGTCTTGGCTCACTGTAACCTCTGCTTCTCAGGTTCAAGTGATTCTCCTGCCTCAGCCTCCTGAGTAGCTGGGACTACAGGTGCGCACCACCATGCCCTGTTAATTTTTGTATTTTTAGTAGAGTCAGGGTTTCACCATGTTAGCCAGGATGGTCTCGATCTCCTGACCTCGTGATCCACCCACCTTGGCCTCCCAAAGAGCTGGGATTACAGGCGTGAGCCACCACAAGCCCGGCCTTGCACACTTTTTTACAGTGTACATTATTACTTTGTGAGCCAGTAAATAATAAAACTTCGAAAGTGAATGCATCTTGAGGATGCTTACAATTTATTTTTTTTTTCCAGGATAAGATGGTTGGATTGGTCACTGGCTGGAACAGGAGAAATACATTTCACTTCAGATAAAGTAGAGAATACAGTTTTTAGCCAGGCAAAACCCTGATCTGTTTAAGACTAAGTTTCACAGAATGACAGAGGAAGTTGTGAAAAGCCTTGGTCTCTGGGCAGGCCTCATTTTTAGCCATGTTGCATGGTCCACCCCTAAGTGAACTACTTTAGAGTCCCCTCTTTCCTGAGAGAGCAAAAGAGGAGAGAAGTCTCCTTTGGAGAAGCAAAGACTCCTTCTCCAACTTGCAGCTTTTTTACCCCTGTGTTCTGCAATGATGGTAATATGAACAAACGTTAAATGTGTAGATACTGCAAGTATTATCCACAAGAACATCTAAAAATCATTTGCAATCCATCTTCTTCTAGAAGAGGTTAATGCCATTTATGAGGGTTGTAACGTGGAGAATTTTCTCATCACTGGGTTTCAGGCTGCAGATGTAGGGGTCAGATGGGCTAGTAATGAGCAGAATGCCTAGGCAATACGCTGATCTAATACCTGCCTCTTGGTCTTTCCTATTTGTTGAGCACACACGAGGGCAAGGACAAGGCCTGCCTGGTTGAACCGGAAAGGTACAACAGGCTACTTTTAGATCAGACTGTTTGGCACTTACGTAAACAGCAAAAGGAAGAGTGGCTCAAGGTGCCAGCTCCTATGGTCTTTGTCCCACTCACCAAAAGGACAACACCAAAACAAGAGGGGTCAGATAACTGCAAGGCAAGCCATGGGACGCCCTTTCGAGAAGCTCATTCTTAGCTGCAGCTAAGGGCTTTAGTATTCTGCAGCTCTATTCTGAGGGGGCCACAGCATAAAGCCCTAATCTCATCAGAACCTGGAAGGCATAAGAAATCATCTCAGCCTTCCAGGGAAGTAGGAACATGAATGGGAGATGGCATACATGCCACCATCCTCTCATGTTAAGGTATCTTTAAATAGAAATACACAGAAAACAAAGTTACGTATTGGTTGGTTGACAAAAATGACCAGAGGCTTTAGGAACCTAACCCTGTATTTCCCTTAAGAGTAATAATTCAGTATTCACTTATTCAGCATTCACAGCAACTTTATAGAACATAACTACCATGAAGAAAGAGAACTGGCTATATTATTATGAATACAGGAATGTAGTTTGGCCTTCACACACAGCCCCAAAAGGGCTCCAAGACTCTCCCTCCCTCCTCCGAGGTCCCCAGACCACACTTTGATAACTATTTCTGGTAGACTATAAACTGTGGCCAACTAGGGGTCAGCCATAGCTATTTTGTTCCTCTTCACATTTCCAGAGTCTTGCATAGTGCCAGGCATATATTGTGAGTTAAGTTAAAATGGGCTGGGGGTAAGATTTTTATGAGAAAGTTAAACCTGAGAGAGGAGAGACAGAGTGGTCTCTTTGGTGCTAAAGGTCAGTTCAGCCTTGATGTTGTTGTTGTCGTTGTTGTTTTTGAGACGGAGTCTCGCTTTGTCTCCCAGGCTGGAGTGCAGTGGCGCGATCTCGGCTCACTGCAAGCTCCGCCTCCTGGGTTCACGCCATTCTCCTGCCTCAGCCTCCCGAGTAGCTGGGACTACAGGCGCTTGCCACGCCCGGCTAATTTTTTGTATTTTTAGTAGAGATGGGGTTTCACCGTGTTCATCAGGATGGTCTCGATCTCCTGATCTCGTGATCCGCCCATCTCGGCCTCCCAAAGTGCTGGGATTACAGGCATGAGCCACTGCGCCCGGCCGTTTTTTTTTTTTTTTTTTTTTTCTTAATGACAGGGCTCACTCTGTTGCCGAGGCTGGAGTGCAGTGGCACAATCTCGGCTCACTGCAACCTCTGCCTTCAGGGCTCAAGCGAACCTCCCACCTCAGCCTCCTGAGTAGCTGGGAGTACAGGCATGAGTCACCACACCCAGCTAATTTTTTGTATTTTTTTAGAGATGGGGTCTCACTATGTTGCTCAGGCTGGTCTCAAACTCCTGGGCTCAAACAGTCCACCTGCCTTGACCTCCCAAAGTGCTAGGATTACAGGCATCCACCATTGCACCCAGCACAACATATATACCTTATTTATTTATTTATTTATTTATTTATTTATTTATTTTGAGACAGAGTTTCACCGTGTCACCCAGGCTGGAGTACAGTAGCGTGATCTCAGCTCACTGCAACCTCTGTCTCATGAGTTCAAGCGATTCTCCTGCCCCAGCCTCCTGAATAGCTGGGATTACAGGCCCCCGCTACCACTCCCGGCTAATTTTTGTATTTTTAGTAGAGACGGGGTTTCTCCATGTTGGCCAGGCTGGTCTCGAACTGTTGACCTCAGGTGATCCACCCTCCTCAGCCTCCCAAAGTGCTGGGATTATAGGCGTGAGCCACCATGCCCGCTGGAATTTTAAAATACTTTATTACGGCTCCATAGCTAATGGGTTAGAGCACTGGTCTTGTAAAATACTTTATTACTGAAAAATGCTAATGATCACCTGAGCCTTCAGTGAGTCATCTTTTTGCTGCTGGAGGGTCTTGCCTCAGTGTTGTGGCTGGTGACTGATCAGGGTGGTGGCTGCTGAAGATCAGGATGCCTGTGGCAATTTCCTGAAATAAAACAATGATGAAGTTTGCTACATCGATTGACTCTTTCACCAAAGATTTCTCTGTAGCATGAGATACTATTTGATAGCATTTACCCACAGTAGAACTTCCTTCAATACTGGAATCAATCCTATCAAACCATGCCACTGCTTTATGAACTGCGTTATGTAATATTCTAAATCCTCTGTTGTCATTTCAACAATGTCCACAGCGTCTTCATCAGGAGTAGAATCCACATCAAGAAAAGATGTTCTTGGCTCATTCAGAAGAAACAACACCTCCTTCATTCAAGTTTGATTGTGAGATGGCAGCAATTCAGTCACATCTTCAGGCTCCACTTCTAACTGTACTTCTCTTGCTGTGTCTACCACATCTGCAGTTACTTCCTCCACAGAAGTCTTGAGCCCCCTAAAGTCAACTATGAGCGTTGGAATCAACTTCTCCCAAATCCTGTTAATGTGGCTATTTTGACCTTCTCCTATGAATCATGAATGTTCTTAATGGCATCTAGAATGATTAATTCTTTCCAAAGTCTTTCAATTTACTTTGCCCAGATCCATTAGAGGAATCAAGATCAATGGCAGCTATGGCCCAACAAAATGTATTTCTTTCTTTTTTTTTTTTTTTTTTTTTGAGATGGAGTCTTGCTCTGTCACCCAGGCTGGAGTACAGTAGCGCAATCTTGGCTCACTGCAACCTCCACCTCCCAGGTTCAAGCAATTCTCCTGCCTCAGCCTCCCAAGTATCTGGGACTACAGGCGTGTGCCACCCAGCCCAGCTAATTTTTGTATTTTTAGTAGAGACAGTGTTTCACCATGTTAGCCAGGATGGTCTCGATCTCTTGACCTCATGATCCGCCCGCCTCAGCCTCCCAAAGTGCTGGGATTGCAGGCGTGAGCCCCCATGCCCGGCCAATGTATTTCTTAAGTAATAGGACTTGAAAGTCAAAATTACTCTTTGATCCATGGGCTATGGACTGGATGTTGTGTTAGCAGGCATGAAAACAACATTCATCTCCTTGCACATCTTCATCAGAGCCCTTGGGTGACCAGGTGAACTGTCAGTGAGTGGTAATTTTCTGAAAGGAATCTTTTCTTCTTTTTCTGGGCAGTAAATCTCAATAGTGGGCTTAAAATATTCAGTAAACCATGCTAATTACCGGATATGCTGTCATCCAGGCTTTGCTATTCCATTTATAGAGCACAAGAAGAGTAGCTTTAGCATGTTTTTTTTTTGTTTTTTTTTTTTTTGAGACAGAGTCTCGCTGTGTTGCCTAGGCTGGAGTGCAGTGGTGTGATCCCAGCTTACGGCAACCTCTGCCTCCCGGGTGCCTCCTGGGTTCAAGTGATACTCCTGTCTCAGCCTCCTGAGTAGCTGGGATCACAGGCATGCACCACCACACCTGGCTAATTTTTGTATTTTTAGTAAAGATGGGGTTTTGCCATGTTGGCCGGGCTGGTCTCAAACTCCTGACCTCAGGTGATCCACCCCCTTCGGCCTCCCAAAATGCTGGGATTACAGGCGTGAGCCACCACGCCTGGCCAGCTTTAGCATAACTCTTAAAGGTCCTAGAATTTTCAGAATGGCAAATGAGCACTGACTTCAACTTAAAGCCACCAGCTGCATTAGCTCCTAATAAGAGAGCCAGCCTGTTCTTTAAAGTTTGAAGCCAGGCACTGACTTCTCCTCTCTAGCTATGAGGGTCCTACATGGCCTCTTCATCCAAGAGAAAGCTGTTTGTTTTATCTACATTGAAAATCTGTTGTTTAGCGCAGCCGCCTTCGTCAGTGATCTTAGCCAGATCTTCTGGATAACTTGCTGCAGCTTCTACATCAGCACTTGCTGCTTCACCTTGCACTTTTATGTTATAGAGCTGGCTTCTTTCCTTCAATCTGATGAACCAGCCTCTGTTAGCTTCCAAGTTTTCTTCTATAGATAACCTCACCTCTCTCAGCCTCCACAGAATTGAAGAGTTATGGCCTTGGTCTGGATTAGGCTTTGGCTAAAGGGAATGTTGTGGCTGGTTTGATCTTCTATCCAGACTACTCAAACTTTCCCCGTATCAGCAATAAGGATGTTTTGCTTTCTTATCATTTGTATGTTCCCTGGAGTGACACTTTCAACATCCTTCAACAGCTTTTCCCCTGCATTCACAACTTGACTAACTGGCACAAGAGGCATAGCTTTTGGCCGATCTCAGCTTTCGACATGCGTTCCTCACTAAGCTTAATCATTTGTAGCTTTTGATTTAAAGTGAGAGTCGTGCGACTCTTCCTTTCACTTGAACACTTAGAGGCTATTGTAGGATTATTAGTTGGCTTAACTTCAATGTTATTGTGTCTCAGGGAGTAGGGAGGCCCACGGAAGAGGGGAGAGAGATGGGGAAATAGCCGGTTGGTCAGTTGAGCAATCGGAACATGCACACTTATTGATTAAGTTTGCTGTCTTATATGGGTGCGATTTGTGGCACCTCAAAACAATTACAATAGTAACATCAAAGGTCACTGATCATGCCTGTAAACCTAGCACTTCGGGAGGCTGAGGTTGGAGGATCACTTGAGTCCAGGAACTCAAGACCAGCCTGGACAACATAATGAGACCCTGTCTCTACAAAAAAATTAAAAAAACTAGTGGCATGCGTCTGTAGTCCCAGCTACTCAAGGGGCTGAGGTGGGCGGATTGTTTGAGCCCAGGAGGTTGAGGCTACAGTGGTCGCACCACGGCACTCCAGCCTGGGCAACAGAGTGAGACCCTGTCTCGAAATAATAATCACAGTCATAATTATAATAATGAAAAAGTTTGAAATGCTGTAAGAATGATGAAAATGTGACACAGACGTGAAGTGAGCACATGCTGTTGGAAAAATGGCACCGATAGCCTTGCTCCAGGCAGGGTTGCCATAAACCTTCCATTTGTAAAACGTGCAGTATCTGCAAGGTGTGATAAAGCAAAGCACAATAGAATGAGTTATTCTTGGACTCACAGAGCATAACACGGGGATAAATACGCACAAATCTATACTGATTAAACATCTTGATTATTGAAGTAGATTTTACAGTATGACTTTTTTAAGATGCAAGATATGGAATCAGACCTATCCTCACATTTTCTAGTACTGGGTTAACATTTGTGTAAACTTTTAGCTACTCTAGATTAGAAAATGTAACATCATTGTTCCTTATCTTTTCTTATACAAATAAGACTAGGCCTTAGGTCTGTGGCTTTAATGAAATAATAATTTGTCATTATTTATGTCAAATTCAGCCCCTGCTTTACTTTCTTTTCTTTTCTTTTTTTTTTTTTTTTTTCTGAGACAGAGTCTCACTCTGTTGCCCAGGTTGGAGTGCAGTAGCTCAATCTTGGATCACTGCAACCTCCACCTCCTGGGTTCAAGCAATTCTCCTGCCTCAGCCTCCTCAGCAGCTGGGACTACAGGGGCACACCACCATGCCCGGCTAATTTTTGTGTTTTTAGTAGAGATGGGGTTTCACCATGTTGGCCAGGCTGATCTCAAACTCCTGACCTCAAGTGATCAACCCACCTCGGCCCCCCAAAGTGCTGGGATTACAGACATGAGCCACCACGCCCAGACCCTTGCTTTACTTTCATTTGGCATATGGTTTTTTCCACAGTGATGACCAACAAATGAAACTGTGCACCTTTGAAAGAGACTCTGCAGTTACATTTCAGCTCTAATATCCCACACACAGGTATCCTTGCATCCTGTGAGGGGGAGGAGGTGCAGGCACTAAGCAGATTCCTGGAAATCAATGGCCAGAGGCGATGTTTTCAGAGAGGTGAGACGATGGAAAATTACTGAGCAGACAGTGAACTTCTGAAGGGCAGAAACTTCTAGGGGCCCCCAGCACTTCAAGTGCCCAACTCCTAGCAGATGCACAATAAATGCTTGTGACTTGAGAGATAGTGGCAGCAGGTGGGCCCAGGGCTGAGGTGAGGGATGAAGGCCTCCTAGATCTGAGAGAGAGAATAAAGATGACATATTTGGAGCCTGGGGTCTGCAGAGTGAAGCACACAGGACTGTGGTGCAGAGCAGGGAGGAGATGCCGGCTAGCGGTGGGGACACAGAGCTGAGCTACTGTGGCAGAGCAGAACCCGGGCAGGAGGTGGGAGGAGACCAGCAGGAAGGGGTCCCTGAGGAAGCGAGGACTGCCTCTGGCCTCCCTCCTAGTATGTGTGCAAGTGCGTGGTGTGGACCCACTGCCCTGCAGAGAAGTCAGGTAGACAAGCTTCTTGCCATTTCCCAGTCGTATTAGCTTCCTGTGGCTCCCATAGCCAGTTGCCACGAACCGGTGTCTTGAAACAGTAGACATTCATTCTCTCACAGTTCTGGAGGCCAGAAGTCCAAAATCAAGGTGTTGGCAGGCCATGCTCCCTCTGGAGGCTCTTGGGGAGGATTCTTCTTTGCCTCTTCCAGTTTCTGGTGGCTGGAGGCATTCCTTGGCTTCCTTGGTTTGTGGCCACATTACCCCAATCTCTTCTCCACCTTCACACAGCCTTCATCTCTTTGATATGTCTCTCCTTTCTTTCTCTCTCTCTCTCTTTTTATAAAATAGAGATGGGGGTCTTGTTATGTTACCCAGGCTGGCCTTGAACTCCTAGCCTCCAGCGATCCAGTGTGAGCCACCATGGCAGCCTGTGTGTCTTTTTTTTTTTTTTTTTGAGATGGAATTTCACTCTTGTCACCCAAGCTGGAGTGCAGAGGCCCGATCTCAGCTCACTGCAACCTCCGCCTCCCAGGCTCGAGCAATTCTCCTGCCTCAGCCTCCTGAGTAGCTGGGATTACAGGCTCCCATCACCACGCCCAGCTAATTTTTGTATTTTTTTAGTAGAGACGGGGTTTCACCGTGTTGGCCAGGCTGGTCTCAAACTCCTGACCTCAGGTGATCCACCCGCCTCGGCCTCCCAAAGTGCTGGGATTACAGGTGTGAACCACCACACCCGGCCCTGTGTGTCTTTTATAAGGACACTTGTCATTAAGTTGGGGGCTTTCTTGGAGAATCCAGGATAATCTCCTCATTTCAAGATCCTTTCTAACATCTTCAAAGACTCTTTTTTCAGATAAGATAACACAGGTTCCAGGGATTTCTGTGATGGTTAATTTTTTATGTCAGATTACCTGGGCCATGATACCCAGATATTTGGTCAAACATTGTTCTGGATGTTTCTGTGAGGGTGTTTTGGGGTGAGATTTCCCTTTAGATTGATGGACTTTGAGCAAAGTGAATTGCCCTCCATAATGTGAGTGGGCTCTATCTAATCAGTTGAAGGCCTGAATCAAACAAAAGGCTGACCTCCCCCAAGCAAAAGGGAATTCTGCCAGCATATGGTTTTGGACCTCATCTGGGTTTCCAGCCTAACTGCCTTTGGACTTGAACCGCAGCTGCTTCCTGGGTCTCCCCCATCAGATTTTGAATTCATCGAGCTCCCACAATTGTGTGACCCAATTCCTTAAACTAAGTTTATAGATTCTGTTTCTATAGAAAACCCTGACTAATATAGGGGGTTGTTCTATTGAGGCCTTCAACTGATTAGATAAAGCCCACCCACCATTCAACCCACTCTACCAATATTTAACCTAGAGAAATGCTTTTCTGACCTGAATGTGTGTATGGTCTTGTTCAAGTGCAGATTCTGATACAGTAAGCCTGGAATTCTCCATTTCTAACAAGCTCCCAGGGGATGCTGGTGCTGCTGGTTAGAGTGACCAACTCATCCCAGGACTACCTCAGTTTTAGCACTGAAAGTCCCTTGTCCCAGAAAATCTCAGAGCTCCAGGCAAATCGGGATGGTTGGTCACCCTACTGCTGGTCCACAAACCATACTTTGAGTAACAAGGAGTTAGAGATCTCTATAGTAAGGGAAAGTCATAAAAATTTGGCCCTTCCTCAAATATGAGGATAAGTGTAAAAGTACATACCCAATGGATAAATCGATTGGTCCCAACATAAAATGTCATGGATGGTGGTACATTTACTCCCCAAGGGTCTCCCCTTTCCAGTGCTTTTATTTCTTTGAATTTTCTATCAGAACAGGATAAAAGCTTCAATCAGGGTGATTTCTTATCAAATTCCCCCACAGTAGCTCAGCAGAAGATCTAGCCACTGACTTCATAAAGACAGGGAAACTCCTAGGCAAACTCCCTCGTCCTTCCCCTCCCAAGCTGAACAATGCTGTATACACTGACCGCTCTCTTCTACTCGGCTGGAAGACAGTGAAAGGAGCAAGATTTGAAGTCAGCAGAGCTTAGTTTGAATTCTGTCTCTGCCATTTACAGTTGATTGATCTTGGACAAGTTAACTTCTCTAAGGTTGATAGTACTTCCGGAGGAATAAATTTCAGAGGGCTGGGAGCAGGTGAAGGAGATACCTAGGCAAAGTGCACATCCACCATCTGACACTTAATGAGTTTCCTTCCTCTCTGCCAGCCAGGCAGAAGGTGATGTAGGCCCTTGTGGGTGACGCAGGCAGGAGGGGAGACAGTGCACCTCGGGCTCAATGCTGTACCAAGCACAGCTTGTAATATTATTTTACTTATTTCTTCCTTCCTTCTTTCTTTCCTTCTTTCTCTCTTTCTTTCTTTTCTTTCTCTTTCTTCTTTCTCCCCCTTTCTCTCTTTCTTTCTCTTCCTTCTTTTTCTCTCTTTCTCTCTCCCTCTCTTTTTTCTCTTTCTCCTTTCTTCTTCTTTCTCTCTCTTTCTTCTTTTTATTTCCCCCCTTTCTTTATCTCCCTCTCTCTCTTTCTCTCTCTCTTTCTCTCTCTTTTTTCTCTCTCTTTCTGTCTCCCTCTCTCTTTCTTTCTTTTCTTTTTTCTTTCTTTCTTCTTTCTTTTTCCTTTCGAGACAGGGTCTTACTCTATCACCCAGGCTGGAGTGCAGCGGTGTGAGCCTGGCTCACTGCAGACTTAACCTCCCAGGTTCTATTTATAGCTTTCTTGAAATCAACTTTAAGTCAATTCATTTTTTTAAACTTAGCCTTTTCTAACCAATATTATTTGTGAAATCATGGGTTTAACATGCCAATCATATATTTTTTTTTCCAATGCACGGTAAATACATTTAGTCATTCATTCAAGAGATATTTAGGGCTGGGTGCAGTGGCTCGCACCTGTAATCCCAGCACTTCGGGAGGCTGAGGCGGGTGGATCACCTGAGGTCAGGAGTTCAAGGCCAGCCTGGCCAACATGGTGAAACCCTGTCTCTACTAAAAATACAAAAATCAGCCATGCATGGTGGCAGGTGCCTGTAATCCCAGCTACTCAGGAGGCTGAGGCAGGAGAATCGTTTGAACCCGGGAGGTGGAGGTTGGAGTGAGCCAAGATCATGTCACTGCACTCTAGCCTGGGTGACAGGAAGACATTCTGTCTCAAAAATATATAACAAATATACATTATAATGAATACATTCAAGTAGTCATGCATTCAGCAGCTACGGAGGGTGCCTTTTTATGTTAGAACAGCCTGGCACAGTTCTAAGCTCTTGAGCACTTGTGCTGATCCCAGACCCCAGTTGCTCCCATGACTGAGAAGAGCGATGACTTAGGAAGTTCTGGGGTGTATTTACCGAGGACCCAAGTCGGGTGCACTCAATCCCAGGCCTGGCGCTGGAAGCTTTCTTCTACTCTTCATTTGCCTCCGTGCAGTGGGCAGGAGGGAAGTCAGAAGGCATGGAGGGACCTATGTTAGGGCCTGGCTTCTTGTGTTCGCTTTCTCATCTCATTCTCCCTTATAGGTGACTGCAGGAAAAATAGACTAAAGCCTGCCCTGTGGGTTTGGCTAGCGTGTATGTGTGTGTGTGTATGTGTGTGTGTGTATTCTCTTTCTTTCTCTTCCTTCATGTCCTCTTTCCAGGCACCCCCATGAGTAAATTGGCTCAGGGCAAGCCAGCCGCGCTCACACTTTTTTTTTTCCCTACAGGCCTTCATCCTTCTCCTAACATTGCTTTGGTCTCCAGGCCCATGCACTGCTAAGATCCCAAGATTCAGACTGGGGGATGGGAGTTGAGGAGATGCCACCTTTAGGCTGAGCTGGGAGCTTCTGTCCACCTTTATCAGACTTGATCAGACTGTGCACCCTGGGGTATCACCCTCTGCTTCAATTAACACAATGACTTCCCACCTTCGCATCCTCCTCCTTCAAGGGGGACTTGGCTCGGTCAATTATTTCCTTCACCTTTTGCATGTTCAGTGTTTTCCTTTCTTCCCGAGGCTTCCCCTCTGTGGACCAACATGTTCCTCCATGGCAAAAACAAAAACAACCAGCCCAAACCAGTTCTTTCTGCCCTCCTGCCCTCTGCAGGTCAGCGCTGCCTCCTCCCTCCCTTTCATGGCATTGAATGGTGAGAGTGCAATACCCTCAGTGGCGCCTAACAGTCAGCAGTGAGCGCTCAGGACCGTCACCCACCTCTGCGGCCGATGACCCTCTCTTTGGCTCTGGCCCCAGCCGGCCTTGCGCTGTTCCTTCTCACGGTTTTTCCTGGCTCATCTTCGTGCCCCCTCCCCTGAGGGTCCTGGAGGTCTGAGCCCTCTGGCCGCCTCTCCTCTCTCCTTGCACTCCTCCTCTCATGGAGCGACCCCGTCTGTGCCACCTTCTCACCTTCCATGTCACACACCTTCAGCCTTCACTGAGGAGAGAGCAGGGCTGCAGCATCGTGTTCCAGTCTCATCCCTCACGGAGCCGAGAACTAAAAATTGAAACAGAGAAACCTCCTGACAAGGCCGCTGGCAAGTTCAATGGGAACAACTCAGGTTTTCAGAAAGAAGTATGATCCCTGGAGCCAGCGGGTTCAAAAGAACGAAGAGATTTATCAAGAATGAGACATACCAGACCAGCTGCGTTGCTTTCCATTGACAGGAAGCAAATCAGCTGCTCAGGAAAAGGTCAAGCATGGCACCTGGTCTCAGAGAGGTGTCCGTCAAAGGCTGTCATAACAGCCCTATGGACAAGAAGGAGACCTGGGCCAGGTGAGAATGATGCAAAACCATTTGTCCCAAGGAGTTGTGGATGGGACTTAGGGAAAGGAGGGGCTCCAGAGGCACTGTGACAGTGTCAGAGTGACTACAGGCTCCTCAGGAGATGTTGAGGGAAAAGAAAGGGCTGGGACGTGCCCTAAGACTTCTGTGCGCAGGCACTGGTCCCCTCTGCTGATTCAGGGCTCCCCTAAAACAGCCACCCTCATCACGAGTATGGTACCAGGCAGTGGCAAAACCTGTTCAACATCAGCAGGGCCGGGCGCAGTGGCTCATGCCTGTAATCCCAGCACTTTGGGAGGGCAATGCAGGAGGATCACTTGAGGCCAGGAGTTCGAAACCCCTTCTCTACAAAAAATACAAAAATCAGCCAGGCTTGATGGTGCATGCCTGTAGTCCCAGCTCCTTGGGAGGCTGAGGTGGGAGTATTGTTTGAGCCTGAGAGGTTGAGGCTGCAGTAAGCTATGATTGCACCACTGCACCAAAGCAAGACCCCATTTCAAAAAACAACAAACAAACCAAAAACACACCAGCAGGTTCTGACTGCAGCCTCAGAAAGCCCCCGGCTTTCCTGTTCAGCAAGCAGGCGCCCTGCAGAGTGAAGGATGCTTTCCCAGAGCCACCCTCAAGTGCTGCTGGAGGCCCAGATTCCTTCAAATGACCTGGGCAGCCCTGCCGGAATGCAGTGTGACAACAGAAACAAGTTGGCTGCTTGGGGAAACCATGCGGGCATCCCCAGGGTCTGATTTGGTAACCGCAGATATTCTTTGATAAATTGTAGAACCATTAGGCACTGGTCTGGGCAGTATGTGTATGGATGGGGAATCTGTTTATGAGAATATAAAATAAAACGTGCAAACACAGGAGAAGTAGAAGATACAGGTGGCAGGGGTAGAGTGAGAACTGAAGTCAGGACTGGGGAGCTGGAGGAGGAAATCAGGCCTGAAGAAACTTTGTGGCTGAAGCCAGCAAATCTTGTATATATAGGATCTCCATGAACTGTCCTAAAATTTCCAAGAGAAGGAGACATCCGTCAAGTAGAAGACAAAAAGGGATGCTGACCAGGGAGGCCGGATGCTGGTAGGTAGAGCCCATGACTGGAGAAGCAAGAGCAGCACAAGGTCCCTGAGGGGTGGTTAAGAGCAGCTGGTGACCGGGCATAGTGGCTCATGCTTGTAATCCCAGCACTTTGGGAGGCCGAGGCAGGTGTATCACTTGAGGTCAGGAGTTCGAGACCAGTCTGGCCAACATGGCAAAACCCCATCTCTACTAAAAATACAAAAATTAGCTGGGTGTGGTGGTGGGTACCTGTAATCCCAGCTACTTGGGAGGCTGAGGCAGGAGAATTGCTTGAACCCAGGAGGCAGAGGTTGCAGTGAGCCGAGATCGTACCATTGCACTCTAGCCTGGGTGACAAGAGCGAGACTCTGTCTCAAACAAACAAAAAAAGAGCAGCTGGAGGCTGGGCATGGTGGTTCATGCCTGTAATCCCAGCACTTTGGGAGGCCGAGGAGGGTGGGTCACTTGAGGTCAGGAGCTTGAAACCAGCCTGGCCAACATGGTGAAACCACGTCTCTACTAAAAATACAAAAAAATTAGTCGGGCATGGTGGCACATACCTGTAATCCCAGCTAAACTTGGGAGGCCAAGGCAGGAGAATCACTTAAACTCCAGAGGCAGAGGTTGCAGTGAGCCAAGATTGCACCACTGCACTCCAGTCTGGGGCAACAGAGCAAGATTCCATCTCAAAAACAAAACAAAACAAAAAATACAAAGAAAAGAAAAGAAAAGCAGCTGGAGGCTGGGTGTGGTGGCTCATACCTATAATCCCAGCACTTTAGGAGGCCAGGGCAGGAGAATCGCTTGAGTCCAGGAGTTTGAAACCAGCTTGGGTGAAATCCCTTCTCTACAAAAACAAACAGAAATTAGCCGGGTGTGGTGGTGCCCCAGGTCTCAGCTACTTGGTGGGGTGAGGCAGGAGGATCCCTTGAACCCAGGAGGCCAAGGCTGCAGTAAGCCGAGATTGTGCCCCTGCACTCCAGCCTGAGTGACAAAGTGAGACCCTGTCTCAAAAAAAGAAAAAGAAAAAAAAAAGCAGCCGGCACCTAGCTACCTTCCCATCTCTCTTCTGTTATGGGGTGGGGGTTCAAAATCAAGACAAATAATTAAATAATTTAAATATTTTTTCCTCCAGATTTTCTTTTTCTTGACAATAAACTTATTTTTCATAAAATATATCAAGTATAGAGGCAAAAATAGAGAAAAATATAACAACCAATATTTTAAATATTAGCATTATGCTGGCTGAGCATGGCATCTCACACCTTTAATCTCAGCACTTTAGGAGGCCAAGGCAGGAGAATCACTTGAGGCCAGGAGTTCAAGACCAGCCTGAGCAACATAGTGAGACCCCCATCTCTACAAAAAATAAAAAATTAGCCAGGTGTGGTGGCACATACCTGTGGTCCCAGCTATTCAGGAGGCTGAGGTGGGAGAATTGCTTTAGTCCAGGAGGTTGAGGCTTCAGTGAGCTGTGATCACACTACCACACTCCAGTCTGAACAACAGAGCCAGATCCGTCTCAAAAAATAAAAAAGTTAGCATTATTCCATTTTGCATCAGATCTTATTTATTTATTATTATTTTTTAAGACAGAGTCTCACTCTCTTGCCCAGGCTGGAGTGCAGTGGTGCAATCTCAGCTCACTGTAATCTCTACCTCCCAGGTTCAAGTGATGCTCCTGTCTCAGCCTCCCGAGTAGCTGGGATTACAGGTGTGTGACACCATGCCTGGCTAATTTTTGTATTTTTAATAGAGACAAGGCTTCACCATGTTGGCCAGTGTGGTCTCGAACTCCTGACCTCAAGTGATCTGCCTGCCTTGGCCTCCCAAAGTGCTGGTATTACAGGTGTGAGCCACCACTCCTGGCTAGATCTTGTGTTTTAGATAGTATCACAGATACAGTGGAGGGACGTACTCTCTTTCTGTTTCTAAGAGGCTACCTCAGTTCTATCAGCTTCTAGTCACTCTTGCTGCCTTCTGGCCATGGAGTACAAATCCTTTTGAGAATCACAGTACATAGGTTTTTTTTTCTTTTATTCTTAAAGAGTTCATTTTGCCTGGTATGTACATAGGTCTTGATGTAGGAAGGCAGGCACTGAAGTGAATGCTAAATTCCCTCTCTTGCTCAGGAAGGGAAGCAGAGGGTGGAAGGTGGGTGTGTGAGGGAAGATCTGTTGCTAACTGAGGTCTAAAGAAACAAAGACGCCTTCAAGCTGTGCCTATGTAATTAAGCTGTGCCCAAGCACTGGCACCAGTTTTTCTTGTTTATGACTTTAATCTTGCTGGTTGTCCTTTCATTCACATGTTTACTGAATTGTCCACCCTTTTTATGATACGCCCTTTTAACCACCAGGGTTCATGAACCATTATTGTAATTTTCCACTTATGTGACTTGATCTGCAGTTGGGTGTTACCATACTTACTCAAATATTTCCTGTTTATTCCTGCAAAATTAGGACAAAGATCTCAAAGATTTTCTGAGGAATAAGTGAGATAACGTCTGTGTATTTAGCACAGTAATTGGCAATATACAGTTCCTAGTAAATGCTTTTCCCCTCTTTTCTAATTCTCATAAAATGTCTGTTTAAAACTCCATTACAATTATCAGAGTTGCCAACAAGCACTGCAGATAGTGGAAACTACTTTTGGTCCATTTGTGAAAATTGTGGCATTTACTTTCTTCTGATTAGCCTAGATACTGGAAAACCTGCAGGAATTAACAATGTAAAGTATAATATTTTAAGATGTAAAAACAAGGGCCAGTCGCAGTGGCTCACACCTTTTTTGTTTGTTTGTTTGTTTTTTGATATGGAATCTGGCTCTGTCACCCAGGCTGGAGTGCAGTGGAATGATCTCGGCTCACTGCAAGCTCCACCTCCCGGGTTCACGCCATTCTCCTGCCTCAGCCTCCTGAGTAGCTGGGACTACAGGAGCCTGCCATCACGCCCAGCTAATTTTTCTGTTTTTAGTAGAGACAGGGTTTCACCATGTTAGCCAGGATGGTCTCAATCTCCTGACCTTGTGATCTGCCCGACTCAGCCTCCCAAAGTGCTGGGATTACAGGCGTGAGCCACCACGGCTCACACCTTTAATCCCAGCACTTTGGGAGGCTGAGGCAGGCTGATCTCTTAAGGCCAGGAGTTCAAGACCAGCCTGAGCAACATAGTGAAATCTCATCTCTACAAAACATACAAGAAATTAGCCAGATGTGGTGGCATGAGCCTGTGGTCCCAGGTACCAGGGAGGCTGAGGTGGGAGGATTGCTTAAGCCTGGGAAGTTGAGGCTGCAGTGAGCCAAGATTGTGCCACTGCATTCCAGCCTGGGTGACAGAGTAAGACGCTGTCTCAAAAAAAAAAAAAAAAAAAAAATCGAAAACATAGTTTTGTGCAAATATACAATGAACACAGGTCAAATATTTTATTCAATTCAATTAATGAGGGCACTGGTAAGATGTTAAGATTATTTCAAAGGGAATTTGAGGAACAGAGAGGCAAAGAGAAAAGATAAAATGGTTTTGCAAATAGATGCAAAACTGGTTAATATCCTACAGTGCAATAAAATGTAATGTTTGATGTTCTCTCTTCTGCAGAGGAGAAATCAATTGTATCTTTATCAGACAAAATTTATTTGCATTGCTATGGATAAGAATTTGCTTTACCAAGCCAGGCGCGGTGGCTCACGCCTGTAACCCCAGCATTTTGGGAGGCTGAGGCCAGCAGATCACGAGGTCAGGAGATCGAGACCATCCTGGCTAACACGGTGAAACCCTGTCTCTACTAAAAATACAAAAAAAAAATTAGCCAGGCGTGCTGGCAGGCGCCTGTAGTCCCAGCTACTCGGGAGGCTGAGGCAGGAGAATGGCGTGAACCCGGGAGGCGGAGCTTGCAGTGAGCAGAGATCATGCCACTGCACTCCAGCCTAGGTGACAGAGCGAGACTCTGTCTCAAAAAAAAAAAAAAAAAAAAAGAATTTGCCTTACCATCAGATTTTTTTTACAATTTTACTTCATTTCCTACAAAATTATAAAATAACCTAGTCAATAAGAAATCAGTTAAATTGCACAACCCTATAAAATCCAAAAATTCCAGAAATTCCAATAGGCAGTAATAACAATTCCATTGAAAGGAAACCTGGTAATCTCCTTTGCCCATTTCCATATCTTGGATAATTTTCTCTGGCAATTCTTACGCATTTAGGATGTGGTCTAGGAGGAAGCCTTGGAATTTTCTCACTCTGGATTGTGGAACCACAAAGTCAGCCTGGAGCTGCCTACATCTGGACACCTAGGCTCCTGTCAGAGCCAGTTTATTATTTCCAGTCACTCATTACTGGGATTCTCCTCTCCCTGGGGCGTTATGAAGGTAAGGAGAGGGTTCTTGGGCAGTCAGTTTCAGCATTAACCGTTTTATTCCCACATTTGGCAATAGGGCTTGCCGTCCATTATTTATGGCCTCTGTCTTAATCTGTTCTGTGTTGCTATAACACGATACCACAGACTGGGAAATTTATGAAGAAAATCAATTTATTTCTCACAGTTCTGGAGTCTGGAAGTTCAATATCAAAGTGCCAGCATCTGACAAGGGCCTTCTTGCTGAGACATCCCATGGCAGAAGCCAAAAGAGCAAGAGAGAGCGAGGGCAAGTGAGCAAAAGGAGGCCAAACTCACTTTTAAAACAGCCCACTCTAGAGATAACTAACCCACTCCCTCAAAAATGACATTAATCCATCAGGAGAGCAGAACGCTTATGACCTAATCACCTTATTAGGCCCCACCTCCTAACACTGTTGCATTGGGGATTAAGTTTCCAACACATGAGTTTTGGAGAACACATTCTCAAACCATAGCAGCTTCCTTCCAAAACCTGTCTCAACTGCCCAAAGCCTTTTCCAGACTCTTCTTCTACTTGCAAACCCTCTATTCAAACCAAAGAAACAATTAATATAACCTTAAATTTACAAAACCATGTGGTTTGTTAAACAATCACATACAACCTTTTTTTTTTTTTTTTTTTTTTTGAGACAGAGTCTCGCTCTGTCGCCCAGGCTGGAGTACAGTGGCACAATCTCGGCTCACTGCAACCTCCGCCTCCTGGGTTCAAGCAATTCTCCTGCCTCAGCCTCCTGAGTAGCTGGGATTATAGGCACCCGCCACCATGCCCAGCTAATTTTTGTATTTTTAGTAGAGACGGGGTTTCACCATGTTGGTCAGGCTGGTCTCAAACCCCTGACCTCGTGATCCACCTGCCTCGGCCTCCCAAAGTGCTGGGATTACAGGTGTGAGCCACCGCGCCTGGCCATGCACAACCTTGAAACATCTCTTGTATCACATTTTTAACCTTGTCTATCATTTTTTTGAGTGTTCTTATGTCTTGTGTTTTCAATGAAGTTGCACTTCTAGAATAGATATCAGAAATTTTTCTCCTCTACCACCACCCCATATTAGACGTTAGTTTTTTTTTTTTTTTTTTTTTAGACGGAGTCTCGCTCTGTCACCAGGCTGGAGTGCAGTGGTGCGATCTTGGCTCACTACAACCTCTGCCTCCCGGGTTCAAGCGATTCTCCTGCCTCGGCCTCCCGAGTAGCTGGGACTACAGGCGCCTGCCACCACGCCCGGCTAATTTTTGTATTTTTAGTAGAGACGGGGTATCGCCATATTAGGCAGGCTGGTCTCGAACTCCTGACCTTGTGATTCGCCCTCCTTGGCCTCCCAAAGTGCTGGGATTACAGGTGCGAGCACCACACCCGGCCCTGATTTTTTTATATATATACAGATGGGGGTCTCATTATGTTGGCAAGGGTGGTCTTGAACTCCTGGCTTCAAACAATCCTCCAGCCTTGGTCTCTGAAAGTGCTGGGGTTACAGGCTTGAGCCACCATGCCTGGCGTAGGTGTTAGCTATTTTGTATTAAAGGGCTAGAAAAAACGGCTCAGAAAAAATCTTTGACTTCTCAATACCTTCACAATAGTGTGTAGACACTTAGCAGAGAGTCCAAGCTCCCCCTCAATATCTTCCACCTTCTTGTGCCAGGCCAAATGCTTACCCCCAAACATTTCTTTTTGCATCTCTGTATCTACGCTCCCAACTTGGAATGCTCTTTTACTTTACTTTCAGGGCTTCATTCAAATGCTGCCTCTTCCATGAAGTCTTCCTTGATCCCTCTAATTAGAAGTTACCAAGTGACTTGCCTTGTCCTGTAAAGATCTGCAGTGAGATGACGCAGGACACAGGCATGGAGCCCGAATTCGCTTATTAGTTTTGTGATCTTTGGCAAGTTATTGTAGGAGACCAGCATATGCCAGCACAAAATATGCCTCCTTAGCGTAAGGACTATTTTGAGCTGATGATTTTGAGAAGCTACAGATACAGGAGAAGCTCTGAAAACAGTAGAAATTACCCTTTTGTAAGGGAAATTTAATCCATAAAGGAAGTCTCCATTTGTTTTTGTTTTTTTGTTTTGTTTTTTTTTTGAGACAGAGTCTTTCTCTGTCACCAGGCTGGAGTGCAGTGGCGTGATCTCAGCTCATGGCAATCTCCGCCTCCCGGGTTCAAGCAATCTCCTGCCTCGGCCTCCCAAGTAGCTGGGACTATAGGTGCGTGACACCACACCCAGCTAATTTATGTGTTTTTAGCAGAAATGGGGTTTTACCATGTTGACCAGGCTGGTCTCGAACTAGTGACCTCAGGTGATCCACCCGCCTTGGCCTCCCAAATTGCTGGGATTACAGGCATGAGCCACCACGCTTGATCGGAAGTCTCCATTTGTAAGGGTTGTCTTCCTTTCTGTACCAGGAAAAGCAGGATGATTCTAAATCACTAGGAACTCATCAGTAGAGATGGCTCTGGCTTAAATCTGTGCAGCAAACCTCAGTCTTGTTTACTCTGCTTTTCCTGGCGGCTCCCTCATTATCAGCCTTCTCCACAGCCTTCTTTCTCTGTCCAGCAAATGATAGTATTGAACCCTGAATTCAAAGCCACCTCTTTGAGGTTTACTTCTTTCTCTGTTTATCTCCTATGGATACATAGGAGGTATACATGTTGTTAAACTTCTGGAGTTTTGTTTTGTTTCGAGACAGGATCTTGCTCTGTTGCCCAGGCTGGAGTGTAGTGTCACAATCTCAGCTCACTGCAGCCTCAACCTCCTGGGCTCAGGTGATCCTGTTACCTCAGCCTCCCAAGTAGCTAAGACTAAGTCACCTGCCACTGCCCAGTTAATTTTATTTTGTATTTTTTGTAGAGACAGCAGCATCTCAGCCATGTTGCCAAGGCTGGTCTCAAACTTCTGAGCTCAAGCAATCCTCCCGCCTAGGCCTCCCAAAGTACTGGGATTACAGGTGTGAGCCACTGTGCCCGGCCTGTTTTTCTCTTGTTATGTGTCCTGTGTTACAGAGGTCCATCCTGTCTAAGAACTATGAAGGGCAGAAAAAAAAGTTATTTTTCCCCCTCTTCAATATTAAACCACTCTGTGCCTGAGTTTTCTAAAAAGAGTGCTACCCACTCACATCATAGGGTTTTTGTGACGATTAAATAAATTAATACATGTAAAGCATTTAGAAGATGCCTAAAACATAGTGAGTGCCCAATAAAAGTTAGTTATTATTGTGGCCAGGCATGGTGGCTCACGCCTGTAATCCCAGAACTTTGGGAGGCCTAGGCGGGTGGATTACCTGAGGTTGGGAGTTCAAGACCAGCCTGGCCAACATGGAGAAACCCTGTCTCTACTAAAAATACAAAAAATTGACCAGGAGTGGTGGCACATGCCTGTAATCCCAGCTACTCGGGAGGCTGAGGCAGGAGAATCGCTTGAACCCGGGAGGCGGAGGTTGTGGCGAGCCAAGATCGCGCCATTGCAACTCCAGCCTGGGCAACAACAGCGAAACTCTGTCTCAAAAAAAAAAAAAAAGAGTTATTATTATTCCTTTCAGATGCTCTCATAATTCTTTGCTAGTGCTTCTTTCAGAGTTTTTGTTTGTTTGCTTGCTTGTTTTTGAGACAGAGTCTCATTCTATCACCCAGGCTGCAGTACAGTGGCATGATCTTGGCTCACTACAGCCTCGATTTCCTGGGCTCAAGCAATCCTCCCACCTCAGCCTCCCGAGTAGCTGGGATTATAGACACCCACCACCATGCCTGGCTATTTTTTTTTTAAATGTAATACTGTTTATTTAACTTCAAAAACATTTCAGCATTCTAAACATACAAAAAAAAATGTTGCAAATCGTGTTTAAGTACAGGAGGTTCTTGAACTTTCATTGATGCAGTGGCTCTTCACTTTGCTGACAATGAAGAGTTCTACAGCTTGTTTAAAAACTACCCCACTTTACTCAAAAAAAAAAAAAAAAAAAACTTCTCATGCCAGCTGACCCCGCTTTGTCCACAACTAAGAAGGCAGCAGAATGCTATGTCACTATATACAGAAACAAGACGACCTAAAGCTAAATGGATGCCCACTGCATAGTCAACAGGTCTAGCCTCACAGTGCACGCCCTGAGCTACAGCCCCTCCAAAAGGCATCTTCCCCACAGCCTCAACGCCGAGCAAGGAGCATCAAGAGTTTGTCTCGGTTGTTTTGTTCTTTTTACAAACTATAGAGATATACAGTTGATAACTCAGGATTTCTAGCCAATAACCATATAGTTAACACCACCTTACAAATAAAAAGAAAACGCCAGAAACATCTTTAAATGCCTTGTCACACCAACGGCAAAGTGCACAGAGTGAGGAGAACACGAGAGTGCCTTTTCATTTTAAAAATGTTTGGAAATATGTACAACTTTGGTGCAGTTTCAGGGTGCTCCAGACACCCATGGCCACTTCATGTAAACCACTGACAATTTCTAGAGCACTTTGAGAGACTACAATACGATCGTGATCAAATTTTGTAATTAAACCTAATGAGGGCAACAGACATTAAATAAGAGATGTGTCAGTTACGGCGCTCCCCTACTCTATGTATTCACAAGGAGACAGATAAACAGTTTCTTTGTTCATCCTCCTCGTCCTTCTCCTTCTCTTCTTCCTCCTCGTCTTCTTCATCTTCCTCTTCCACCTTTTTCCGGGCAACTTTAGCAGGACGCTTTGCGCCATAAAACTTTCCTTTCAACTTACAGTCAACAACATCCTTCTCATACTTCTCCTTCAGCTTTGCCGCCTTAGTGACGTAAGGCTGCTTTTCACTGTCATTTAAGTTATTCCACATCTCACCCAACTTTTTTGCCACGTCTCCAATAGAGATGCCGGGGTTTGTGGATTTGATCTTGGGGCGGAATTCTGAACAGAACAGGAAGAATCCAGATGGTGGCCTTTTGGGGGCATTAGGATCCTTCTTCTTGCCTCCCTTAGCTGGTCCATAATCCTTCATTTCCCGATCATAGCACACTTCATCCGCCTTTGCCATTTCACCAAATTTAAATTTCTCTTTACTGGACATTGTCTTCCACCTCCCAGAGCATTTCTTGGAAAATTCTGCAAAATTGACAGGGACTTCTGGGTTTTTCTTCTTATGTTCTTCTCTGCATTGGAACAGGAATTAAAAGAAATTAAAGAGGCCGGGCGCAGTGGCTCACGCCTGTAATCCCAGTAATTTGGGAGGCCAAGGCAGGCGGATCACCTGAGGTCCAGAGTTCAAGACCAGCCTGACCAACATAGAGAAACCCTGTCTCTACTAAAAATACAAAAAATTAGCCAGGTGTGGTGGTGCATGCCTGTAATCCCAGCTACTCCAGAGGCTGAGGCAGGAGAATGGCTTGAACCTGGGAGGCGGAGGTTGCTGTGAGCCGAGATCGCACCTTTGCACTCTAGCCTGGGCAACAAGAGCGAAACTCCGTCTCAAAAGAAAAAAAAAAGAAATTAAAGAATGTGTAAGCAAAAACTCAGTTGTATGTAAGAAAACCCAATTCTCCCTGAGAAAGAAAAAAAGCTGAAGTCCTTTAAAAATTGACTGCCTGTTTTTCTGTGGCTAGTGAGCCTTATCTCTCCCTTTCCCAGGCATTGTGAAGACTCTGTTTCTCTAGCTGTGTAGCTGCAAGGTCACTAGGCAGATAATCTCAAGTCGTAAAACATGTTGTTCCTTGGAAAGTAAGAAATGATGTAATGCATGTCTTAATTAAATAACTGTCTTTGTTTCTTGCTTCTGTAATATGCTTCCCCCTGCACAGATCTCCCACCGCCCCACAAAATGCTTAAAAGGTAGCTTGACTCTTTGTTCATGGCTCAGTCCTTTGGATGTTAATCCGACTGGGTCGGTGCACCTAAATAATTAAATAATTCCTCCTCAACCCCTCAGTCTTTCTGATTCCTTAATTATCCCACTGCAGCATGTCTGCACAGAGAAGGCATAAGCAGACATCTTGCCCTGTGGTTTCTTGGGGTCACCTTTAGCCATCCTGACTGTATTGTTCACTAGTCTGGGTAGCGCAGGGCATGACGCGTGGCTCGGCGCTCCCTAGCCTCATGCTAGCTGCCTCCATGAGAGCCACCTCCATGCCTGGCTAATTTTTTTTTTTTTTTTTTTTTGAGACGGAGTCTTGCTGTGTCACCCAGGCTGGAGTGCAGTAGCACGATCTTGGCTCACTGCAACCTCCTCCTCCCAGGTTCAAGCGATTCTCCTGCCTCAGCCTGCTGAGTAGCTGGGATTACAGGTGCCTGCCACCATGCCTGGCTAATTTTTGTATTTTTAGTAGAGACGAGGTTTCACCATGTTGATCAGGCTGGTCTTGAACTCTTGACCTCATGATCCACCCGCCTCGGCCTCCCAAAGTGCTGGGATTACAGGCATGAGCCACTGTGCCCAGTCTGGCTAATTTTTATATTTTCAGTAGAGACGAGGTTTCTTCATGTTGGCCAGGCTGATCTCAAACTCCTGACCTCAAATGATCTGCCCACCTTGGCCTCCCAAAGAGCTGGGATTACAGGCATAAGCCACTGTGCCTGGCCACTTTTTACTTTTTCTTTTGTTGTAGAGACAAGGTTTCATTAGGTTTTCCAGGCTGGTCTCGAACTCCTGGACTTAAGCGATCTTCCTGCCTTAGCCTCCCAAAGTGCTGGGATTACAGACAGGAGCTACTGTGCCCAACCCTATTATACTTATAATAATTAGTTCATCCGTTTACATATATTTATACTCTTACACTAAGTTTATCAGTCTCATATATATTTTATTCACTTTTTACGTTTCTGTCTCCTTCACTGAAGTAAGCTCCTTAAGGGATGTTTAGGGAACATTTGCGAATGAATGAACAAATTTAAGAATGAGTGAATGGGTAATTGGAGCCTTGGTTCTCAGTAAACAAATCTTAATAAAAAATCAGACTAGCTGGGTGCGGTGGCTCATGCCTGTAATCCCAGCACTTTGGGAGGCTGAGGCGGGCAGATCACAAGTTCAGGAGTTTGAGACCAGCCTGGCCAACATAGTGAAACCCTGTTTCTACTAAAAATACAAAAAAATTTAGCCAGGCATGGTGGCATGCGCCTGTAGTCCCAGCTACTCAGAAGGCTGAGGCAGGAGAATCACTTGAACCCAGGAGGCAGAGGTTGTGGTGAGCCAAGGTCACTCCACTGCACTCCAGCCTGGGCAACAGAGCAAGGCTCCATCTCAAAAAAAAAAAAAAAAAAAAATCAGGCTGGGCTTGGTGGCTCATGCCCGTAATCCCAGCACTTTGGGAGGCCAAAGCAGGCGGATCACCTGAGGTCGGGAGTTTGAGACCAGCCTGACCAACATGGAAAAACCCCATCTCTACTAAAAATACAAAATTAGCTGGGTGTGGTGGCACACGCCTGTGATCCCAGCTACCAGGGAGGCTGAGGCAGGAGAATTGCTTGAACCTGGGAGGCAGAGGTTGCGGTGAGCTGAGATCCCGCCATTGCACTCCAGCCTGGGCAACAAGAGCAAAACTCTGCTCAGACTTTCTGCTCATGATATGTGGAATTTTTTTGTGTGTGTGCCAAAATATCATGTTGAAGGATTTTTTGACAAACCACCAAGCCTATGAAATGAGCTTTTATTTTGCAGGGTCAAGCAGCTGTTTGAAGTGTAATGTTTGGACAGGCCTGAAATCTACAGCACCAGGATTTTTCCTACATAAATCATCTTTGGTATATTTGTTTTCTGGGTGTTAAATCAAAATAGTAACTTGATAGTCAGTTTATTGTGCCTCCTAAAATTCACACAGATGGTTTTTGTCCCCCCCGCCATCAACGAAAGCCCTAAGCTGAAGAGTAGGTACATTATCACTAGCAAGTTATGTGACCTTGAGCAAGTCACTTCTACAATATCGGGTTCGATTTCCTCATTTCAAACAGAAGGTGAGTTCATTTCCTGCTCTGTGTGGCTGCTTAGAGCCATTCCCACTTCCTGCTGTGTTCTCCCCGGTATCACAGGAGCTGGCATCTGGGAGATGACAGTTCCTGTAGCTGCTCTTCAGGGCTCCAGTGCAGGTTCTGCCAATAAACAGTGTATCTGCAAGATTAAGAGAGTGAGAGTAGAGAGGATTATGGCTTCTGGCAGCGGAAGGCAGGTGAGCAGACTTCAGCAGGCTTTGGAAAGAAGGTTTCAGCCACATGTTCCGGGTGTCTTCCTGCAAGGTGTTCACCTCAGTGCTGCAGGGAGCTGAGTTTGTTGGTAGTTCCTACACAGCTTGATTTTCTTAACACTAACAGCAGTCTTCTGCCCTTCCAACAGTTTGTTTGTTTGTTTGTTTGTTTGTTTGTTTGTTTTATATAAAAGTTAGGCCTGGTGCGGTGGCTCACACCTGTAATCCCAGCACTTTGGGAGGCCAAAGTGGGAGGATCACCTGAGGTCAGGAGTTTGAGACCAGCCTAGCCAACGTGATAAAACCCTGTCTCTACAAAAGTACAAAAAAAATTAGCTGGGCATGATGGCGGGTGCCTGTAATCCCAGCTAATCTGGAGGCTGAGGCAGAAGAATCACTCCAGCCTGCGCAAGACAGCGAGACTCCATCTCAAGAAAAAAAAAAAAAAAAAGGCCAGGTGCAGTGGCTCATGCCTGTAATCCCAGCACTTTGCGAGGCCGAGGCGGGTGGATCACTTGAGGCCAGGAGTTTGAGACCAGCCTGGCCAACATGGTGAAACCCTGTCACTAGTAAAAATACAAAAATTAGCCAGACATGGTGGTGCATGCCTGTAATCCCAGCTACTTGGGAGGCTGAGTCAGGAGACTCACTCAAACCCGGGAGGCGGAGGTTGCAGCGGCCGAGATCGCTCCACTGCACTCCAGCCTGGTGACAGCAAGACTCCGTCTAAACAAAAAATAAAAAGGCCGGGCGCGGTGGCTCTCGGCTGTAATCCCAGCACTTTGGGAGGCCGAGGCGGGTGGATCACAAGGTTAGGAGATCGAGACCGTCCTGGCTAACACGGTGAAACCCTGTCTCTACTAAAAATACAAAAAATTAGCCGGGCGTGGTGGCAGGCTCCTGTAGTCCCAGCTACTTGGGAGGCTGAGGCAGGAGAATGGTGTGAACCTGGAAGGCAGAGCTTGTAGTGAGCCGAGATTGCGCCATTGCCCTCCAGTTTGGGCGACAGAGCAAGACTCTGTCTCAAAAAAAATAAAAATAAAAAAGTTAGTTTTAGTTTTTATTTTAAAAATAACTACAGATCCCTTATTTACACGGAAAGACTACCAACATTTTTTTAAGTAACAGCTTTATTGAAATATAATATCGAAAAGCCACTTAAAGTATACAATTCAATGGGTTTTTAAAAATATATTCAAGGTGTTGTGCTGTCATCACAATGAATTTTAGAACATTTTTATCACCCTTAAAAGAAACTGCAAACCCATAAGCAGCAGTCTCTCCCTGTTCCACCCCAACTCTGCTCTCCCCACCTAGCCCTAGGCAACCAGCAATTCACTTTCTGTCTCTATGGATTTGTCTGTTCCGAACATGTCATATAAATGGAAACATGATATGTGGCCTTTTGTGTCTGGGTTCTTTCATTTAGCATAAGGTGTTTAAGATTCCTCCACATTGTAGCTTGTTATCAGTACTTTGTTTCTTTGTATTACCAAATAAAGTCTCATTATATCACATTTTATTTATCCACTCATCATTGGAGGGATATTTGGAGTGTTTCCACATTTTGGCTATTAGAATAATGCTGCTGTGAATATTTGTTGTTTTGTGTTGTTTGTTTTTGTTTTGAGATGTAGTCTTGCTCTGTTGCCCAGGCTGGAATGCAGTGGCATGATCTCGGCTCACTGCAACTTCTGTCTCCTGGATTTAAGTGGTTTTCATGCCTCAACCTCCCAAGTAGCTGGGACTACAGGCACCTGCCACCAAGCTCAGCTAATTTTTGTATTTTTAGTAGAGATGGGGTTTCACCATGTTGCCCAGGCTGGTCTGAAACTCCTGACGTCAGGTGATCCACCCGACTTGGCCTCCCAAAGTGCTGGGATTAAAGGTGTGAGCCCCGCACCCAGCAAATGCTGCTATGAATATTCACATACAAGTTTTTGTGTAGATGTGTGTTTTTATTTCTCTTGGATATTCACCTAGAAGTGGAATTGCTGTGTCATATTGTAAGTCTGTTTAACCCTTTGAGGTGCCTCCAGGCTGTTTTCTAAAGTCGCTGCACCATTTTACAGTTCTACCAGCAGTGTATGAAAATTCTATTTCTCTGTGTTCTTGCCAATACTTGTTACTGTCTGTCTTTTAAATTATCCTAGTGGGTGTGAAGTGATATCTCTTTGAGGTTTTGATTTGCATTTTCCTGATGGTTAATGATGTCAAGCATCTTTTTTTTTTTTTTTTTTTTTTTGAGACGGAGTCTCGCTCTGTCGCCCAGGCCGGACTGCGGACTGCAGTGGCGCAATCTCGGCTCACTGCAAGCTCCGCTTCCCGGGTTCACGCCATTCTCCTGCCTCAGCCTCCCGAGTAGCTGGGACTACAGGCGCCCGCCACCGCGCCCGGCTAATTTTTTGTATTTTTAGTAGAGACGGGGTTTCACCTTGTTAGCCAGGATGGTCTCGATCTCCTGACCTCATGATCCACCCGCCTCGGCCTCCCAAAGTGCTGGGATTACAGGCGTGAGCCACCGCGCCCGGCCGTCAAGCATCTTTTTATGTGCTTATTGGTCATTCGTGTGTGTGTGTGTGTGTGTGTGTGTGTGTATTTTTTGTTGTTGTTGTTGTTAAGACAGGGTCTGTTGCCCAGGCTAGAGTGCAGTGGCATGATCTTGGCTCACTGCAGACTCGACCTCCTGGGCTCAAGCAATCCTCCCACCTCAGCCTCCCAAGTAGCTGGGACTATAGATACAAGCCACCACGCCCAGCTAATTTTGTTCATTTTTTGTAAGAGATGAGATCTCACTATGTTGCCCAGAGCTGGTCTCAAACTCCTGGGTTCAAGCACTCCTCCCACCTTGGCCTCCCAAAGTGCTGGGATTACAGGCGTGAGCCACCGCGCCTGGATGGCCATTTGTAGATCTTATTTGGAGAGTTATCCATTCAAATCCTCTGCGTTTAGCCGGGCTAACTTTTTTTTATTGAGTTGTAGATTTTTTAAAATCACATATATGACTTGCAAACATGTTTTTCCATTTTGTGGGTTGTCTTTTCACTTTCTTCATGGTTTCCTTTGAAAAATAAAAGTTTTAACTTTTAGGTGGGCATGGTGGCTCACGCCTGTAATCCTAGCACTTTGGGAGGCTGAGGCGGGCAGATTGCCTGAGCTCAGGAGTTCAAGACCACCCTGGGCAACATGGTGAAACCCTGTCTCTGCTAAAATACAAAAAATTAGGCAGGCATGGTGATGTGCGCCTGTAGTCCCAGCTACTCAGGAGGCTGAGGTATGAGAATCACTTGAACCCGAGAGGCGGAGGTTGCAGTGAGCCGAGATTGCCATACTGCACTCCGGCCTGGGTGACAGAGCGAGACTCTGTCTCAAAAAATATATATAAAAATATAAAAATTAAAAATAAAAATAAAAGTTTTAACTTTTGATAATGTATAATTTGTCTATTTTGTTGTTGCATGTGCTTTTGATGTCATAACTAAGAAATCATTGCCTAATCCAAAGTCACAAAGATTTATGCCTTTTTTTCTAAAAGTTTTATAGTTTTAGCTCTTATATTTGTGTATATGATCCATTTTAAGTTAATTTTTACATATATGTATGGTATGGTATTTTGCACCCAAATACATAAAGCAAAAATGAACAGAATGGAGGGGAGAAACAGAAATTGAATAATGATAGTTGGAGATTTTCATGCACATTTCCACAGATGTATGTTTCCCAAGTTTCTTTGTTATTGATTTCTCATTTCATTCCATTGTGGTCAGAAAACATGCTTTACATTGTTTTTATCCTTTTAAATGTATTAACATTTGTTCAATGGCCTACCATATGGTCTATCTTAAAGAATCGTCTATGTGTATTTGAGAAGAATATATATTCTGCTATTTCTGCTATTGCTGGGTAGAGTATTCTAGAGATGTCTGTTAGGTCTAGTTGCTTTATAGTTTTTTGGGTTTTGTTTTTTGTTTTTTGTTTTCTTTTTTTTTGAGACGAAGTCTCGCTCTTTTCCCCCAGGCTGGAGTGCGATGGCGATCTCAGCTCACTGCAACTTCTGCCTCCCGGGTTCAAGCGACTCTCCTGTCTTGGCCCCTCTGAATAGCTGGGATGACAGGCACATGCCACCACAACCAGCTAATTTTTGTACTTTTAGTAGAGACAGGGTTTCACCATGTTGGCCAGGATGGTCTAGAACTCCTGACGTCAGGTGATCCACCCGCCTTGGCCTCCCAAGATTCTGGGATTACAGGCGTAAGCCACTGCACCTGGCCACTTTATAGTATTAAGTCTTCTATTTCCTTGTTGATCTTCTGCCTAGTTGTTCTATCCACTATTAAAAGTAAGCAGAGTTTCTTTCTTTCTTTCTTTTCTTTTCTTTCTTTCTTTTTCTTTCTTTCTTTCTTTCTTTCTCTCTTTCTTTTCTTCCTTCCTTTCTTTCTTTCTCTCTCTCTTTCTTTCTTTTCTTCCTTCCTTCCTTTCTTTCTTTCTTTTTTTTTTTTTTGAGACGGAGTCTCGCTTTGTCTCCCAGGCTGGAGTGCAGTGGCGCGATCTCTGCTCACTGCAACCTCCACCTCCCAGGTTCAAGCGATTCTCCTGCCTCAGCCTCCTGAGTAGCTGGGACTACAGGTGCCCACCACCACACCTGGCTAATTTTTGTATATTTAGTAGAGACGGGGTTTCACCGTGTTAGCCAGGATGATCTCGATCTCCTGACCTCATGATCTGCCAGCCTCAGCCTCCCAAAGTGCTGGGATTACAGGTGTGAGCCACCTCACCCGGCCTCTTTCATTTATGTATTTATGTTTGTATGTATGTATTATTTTTGAGACAGAGTCTCGCTCTGTCATCCAGGCTGGAGCGCAGTGGTGCAATCTCGGCCCACGGCAACCTCCGCCTCCCGGGTTTGAACAATTCTCCTGTCTCAGCCTCCTGAGTAACTGGGATTACAGACGTGAGCCACCACGCCTGGCTGATTTTTGTATTTTTTAGTAGAGACAGGGTTTCACCATGTTGGCCAGGCCGGTCTCAAACTCCTGGTCTCAAGTGATCCGCCTGCCTCGGCCTCCCAAAGTGCTGGGATTACAGGTGTGAGCCACCACAACTGTGGTGATTTCTTAATGAGGTGATAAAAATATTCTAAAATTGACTGTGGTGATGGTTGCACTATCTATGAATACACTAAACATCATTAAATTGTACACATAATTTAAAAAAATTACAGAGATGCGATCTCTCTATTTTGCCCAGGCTGGACTCAAACTCCTGGGCCCAAGCAAACCTCCTGCCTTAGCCTCCTCAAGAGCTTCAACTACAGACTCTAATTTGTGCATTTTAAATGGACGAATTGTATGGTATGTGAATTATATCTCAAGGAAGCCGTTACTTTAAAAAAGTAAAAACATAGCCCATGAGTGGTCAGGCGCAGTGGCTCACATCTGTAATCCCAGCACTTTGGGAGGCTGAGGTGGGTGGATCACCTGAAGTCAGGAGTTCGAGACCAGCCTGGCCAGCATGGTGAAACCCTGCCTCTACTAAAAATACAAAAATTAGCCAGGTGTTGTGGCGCATGCCTGTGATCCCAGCTACTCAGGAGGCTGAGGCAGGATAATCGCTTGAACCCGGGAGGTGGAGGTTGCCGTGAGCTGAGATCATGCTACCGCACTCCAGCTTGGGCAACAGAGTGAGATTTCATCTCAAAAGACAAACAAACAAAAATAACAACAAAAAAAAAACCTACAATGAGATACCACTGCACACCCCCTAAAATGGCTCTGATCAAAAATGTGGAAAAATGACAAGTTTTGGAAAGAATGTGGAGAAACTGAAACCCCCATACATTGCTAGTGGGGTGCAATATGGGGCAGCAGCTGTGAAAACAGGCACTTCCTCAAAAGGTTAAACATAGTTATCCTATGACCCAGGAATTCTATACCTAGGTAGAGATCCAAGAGAAATGAAGACTGACATCCACACAAAAACTAGGATATGACTATTTATAGGAGCATCATTCATAATAGTCAAAAGAATAATAAACCTAAAAGTCCATCAGCTGTAGAATAAACAAAATGTGGCACAGTATATTCTTATCATGGAATATTACTCAGCAATAAAAAGGAATGAAGTCCTGACACATGCCCCAATGTGGATGAACCTTGACATTAACATGCTAAGTGAGAGGAGCGAACGCAAAAGTCACATATTGTATGATTCTGTTTATATGGAATGTCCAGGACAGGCAAATCTATAGAGACAGAGGGTGGATTGGTGTTTGCCAGGGGCTGGAGGGAGGTGGAAAAGGGAGGGACTGATAATGGGTATGGGGTTTCTTTTGGGGGTGATGAAAGTGATCTGGAATTAGATAGTGGTAATGGTTACACAACTTTGCCAATAAATAAAAAACACTGAATTGTATACTTTAAACGGGTGAATGTTATGGTATGTGAATTATTTCTCAATTTTTAAAACGAAAGTTTTGGAACAGAAACATTTTTGGAGAGGATTAAAATGGCACTGCATGAACAGGACAAGTGGAGTGGGGAACTCCAAGCAGGATGACCGCTTTCAAGACAGAAGTGTCGGCTGGGCGCAGTGGCTCACGCCTGTAATCCCAGCACTTTGGGAGGCTGAGGTGGGTGGATCACTTGAGCTCAGGAGTTCAAGACCAGCCTGACCAACAGGGTGAAACCCCGTCTCTACTAAAAATACAAAAATTAGCTGGGCGTGGTGGTGGGTGCCTGTAATCCCTGGTACTCGGGAGGCTGAGGCAGGAGCATCATTTGAACCGGGGAGGCGGAGGTTGTAGTGAGCCGAGATCACGCCACTGCACTCCAGCCTGGGCAACAGAGTGAAACTTTGTCTCAAAAAAAAAAAAAAAAAAAAAAAAACACAAATGTCTCCCTGACCCTCACGTCAAGAACAAGACCTGACATCAAGTATGCACTCGCACTGAATAAATGGTTATATTTTCATACACTTGTATGAAGAAAGGGTTATATTCTATGGATTGGATTAACTGGGGGAAGAAAAGTTTCAGATGAAAGAGACAATATGAAGAAGCGCTTTGAGGACTTGGAGAGAAGAGCTAGGCATGGCTGCGGTATAAGTAACATAGCAACATTGCTGGGCGCAGTGGCGCCCACCTGAGGTCCCAGCTACTTGGGAGGCTGAGGTGGGAGGAATGAGCTGAGGAGTTCGAGTCAAGCCTGGACAATATAGTGAGGTCTTGTCTCTCAAAATAAAAAGCTTTAAAAAAAGTTTTTTAAACATTAAATGCATACAAGGCAAGAATGCAAGAGATGTCACAAAACTTATGTGGCCATCACCAGATAAAAAGCATAGACAATGGCATATCCAAATAGAGGAGAGAGAATTCACTGTGAGCAAGCAAGGCCTCCCAGAAGACATCTGGCATCCAGTGGGCCTCAAAGAATAGCAAAGATTTTCAAGGCTGAAGCAGGGACAGCTTCCTGTTACTAGAACTCCTGGAACCAAGGGTTTACGCAGGACAGGCCCAAGAAAATAGATTGGGAGTTTCCAAACTGTGGCTGTCCAGTGGCCCCTGGCTACCACAGGAGGGAAGAAAGAGTTCTATCTTTAGTCCTTAAGATCAGAACTAAAACTCTATCTCTTCTATAACAACCAGCCATAATCCATAGGCTTTTTTTTTTTTTTTTTTTTTTTTTGAGACAGGGTCTAGCTCTGTCACCCAGGCTGGAGTGCACGGGTGAAATCATAGCTCATTGCAGCCTTGACCTGCTGGGCTCAAGCGATCCTTCCACCTCAGTCTCCCACACAGCTGTGGCCACAGGCACATGCCATCATTACTGGCTAATATTTGATTTTTTGTAGAGATGGGATCTCACTGTGTTGCCTAGGCTGGCCTCAAACTCCTGAGCTTGTGTGATCCTCCCACCTCAGCCTCCCAAAGTGCTGGGATTACAAGTGTGAGCCACTGTGCCTAATCTATAAATTGCTTTCTGATATAAGCTACTTTCTTTTTAAAAGTGTTTTTAGAAAAAATAAAAAGCATGTAAGAACACAGCTTTAAGACCATTTTAAAAGAGAATTTAATCCAATGGTTGTGAGCTGAAGTTGGTAAAGCCCACATAATGCTGGGTCATGCACATACCGAGATACTCAACAAGGCTTTGATGAATAGGTGAATCAATGAATGAATGAAATGCCTGAGGCCATCCTGATTCCCTCAATGAACTGAAGCAGGGTGACAAGGGTGTGGGCAGAGTGGGGGGTCAGAAGTGTGAGGGGAGGGGGGGATGTGGATGAGCCACTCAGGAGAAGTCTGTCTGATGAATAGGTTTCTAAATCTGTTGCTAAGAAAGCAGCAGCAGACATCTGACTTTTGTGGGTAAGCCCTTGTTCGGCCTCAGAGCTCCATGTGCAGGAGATAGCACAACCTCCATTTCCCCTGCGTCTGGTCAAAGAGGCTTTCTGGTTAATGTTTGTAGGACACAGAGACAACAAATATAAACAAGTGCCTGGCCTGGGCAAGGTGAAGTTTTGGTTTGGGTCTTTTTTTCCAGTTTTAACAGGGTCTGTGATGGGGGCAGGCATTATTCAGTCTTTGCCAAATGATGTTCTGAAACCCCTTCCCGGTGGAGGGCACAAGGGCAGAGTCCTATGAAGAACAGACAGGCATGGCCAAGGCATCTGTGTACCTGGCAGCGTTTGGAAGTCCCCCT
Organism: Homo sapiens; assembly: GCF_000001405.40. Taxonomy (NCBI): domain Eukaryota; kingdom Metazoa; phylum Chordata; class Mammalia; order Primates; family Hominidae; genus Homo; species Homo sapiens. The sequence continues at coordinate 36,315,770 of NC_000009.12, forward strand.
TCCCTAGGCCGAAGGCTGTCCTTTGTTTAGGTGAGCCCTCTCTAGAGCCAGACTGAGGCAAGGACAGTCATTGGCTTTCTGGAGGCAAGGAAAATCCCTGGCTTTCTGGGAGAAATACACATTGATGAGCAGGGAAGTCCCAGACCTGCTGGGAAGACAGGATTTTTGGAAACAGACAGACGTAGGTTTGAAGTCTGACCACCTACCTGTCTACCGGCTGGGAGAGTCATATCTAATTCCTGCTTCTTCCCAACTTACTCTAAATCTGAAAATGTTTAAATCTCAGCCCTAAGTGAGTAGCCCCCAGGAGGAGCCAAAGGAGGGGTGGGAAGGAGGGAGAGAGACAGAGGGAGGAGAGAGGGAGGAGAAGGAGGGGGAAGAGGGGAAGGGGAGAGGGAGAGGGGGAGGGAGAGAGACAGAGGGAGAAAGGTAGAGAGGTGAGGGAATAAAATGGGACCCCAGCTGCAGGGCCCAGAGCAGCCCTACCAGCCAGTAAATGATGGCTTCCAGGCAAAGAGAACATTGTACTGCAGGCAGTAGCTGAGCTGACCTGGACACTGGAAGTCAGGGGCCCACAGACAGAACAGAGAGGGCTGTACATTCAGTAAAGAAAAAATTACACACTTATTTTCATTAACCCCTAACTAAACTTTAGCTATTCCTTCAGTTAATGTATGCAACAAAGTAGGGTGTATCAGAGGCACCTGCAAGTCTGGCGCAATTTGAATCTGAAATATTTTCACTTCCCACTGCGTTTGTTGCAGATACCTTGAAATTTCTTATATTCATCACTTCTTCAAAATCATCGTTGTTATTAGAGCGACTGCCAGATCTTATCATGCAATGCATTAATAAAGTAGCCTTTATCTTGCCTGAGTTTGTTTACATTTTGATAACTGTATTTCAATACAGCAGGTTCTGTCTGGAGTCCTTTGTGCTTGTTTTAGGCATGAAGAACATGACTCCAAGAATCCGTCCATCCACCTCCCCAGGCTGCCGAAGACGGGAGCACGGCACACAAGGGTGAGAACTGAGGAGGGCAGCTGGCAGGGGCAGGCTCTGAAAGCACAGCTGTGTGAAGGTCCGGTTCAATATCCGCTTCAGAAGACACACAGCCCTTTGTTGCTCATGTCTGTTGCTGTCTAAAGTTGATCAAGGGCCAACTTAGAGAACAGGATGGAGCTGTGGAGAGGAATGGGTAGAATGCCATGGAGATATTGAGAACAAAAGGCCATGGCTAATACTCCCACTCCGGCCCCAGCACCCAGGCACAGGGAATCTGAGCCCCCTCCACCCACATCTGCGAGCCCCTGACAGACTCAGCAGATGTCAGCTTTTTTGAAGAGACGGTGTCTCTCTCTGTTGCCCAGGCTGGAGTGCAGTGGTGCAATCACAGCTCAATGCAGCCTGGAACTCGGCTTTGCAAGTGATCCTCCCACCTCAGCCTCCTGAGTAGCTGGGACTACAGGCATGCACCACCACGCAGAGCTCCGGTTTTTTGTTTTTTTTTTTTTGAGATGGAGTTTCCCTCTTGTTGCCCAGGCTGGGGTGCAATGGTGCCATCTCGGCTAACTGCAACCTCTGCTTTCCGGGTTCAAGCAATTCTCCTGCCTCAGCCTGAGTAGCTGGGATTACACGCATGTGCCACCATGGCCAGCTTATTTTGTATTTTTAGTAGAGATGGGGTTTCTCCATGTTGGTCAGGCTGGTCTCGAACTCCTGACCTCAGGTGATCCACCCACCTGGGCCTCCCAAAGTGCTGGGATTACAGGCGTGAGCTACTGCGCCTGGCCTCGCAGAGCTAATTTTTTACAGAGGCTGGGATCTCACTGTGTTGCCTAGGCTGGTCTCAAACTCCTGGCCTCAAGCGATCCTTTGGCCTATAATCCCAAAGTGCTAGGATGACAGGCGTGAGCCACCGTGTCCGGCCTCTGTCTGCCATCTAACTCGCAGCCTGCTTCTATCATGTGCTGGAGAGCTGCCCTGCCTGCTGAAGAAAGCTGAGACCCCAAACGTCTTTTCCTCAGGAAGGTGAAGGTGAACTTGGTGGCCTTTACCTGATGACTCTGCTGATATTTGATCCCTGAGGGAATGAGCCACGGTTCAGCACCCAACCCCCACTTGAACTCTGCAGTTTCCCAGTTTCATTAAGAAGCCCATTGTTGAGTCTGGCCATGCGTCAAGGACACGTGGACTCTTGGGGCAACCCCGTTTCTCCAGCATCCTCCCAGGTGATGGGTTGGTGTGGCCAGGAGCCAACAGGAAGGGTGTGGGCCAGAGGGGAGAGGCTTCCTAGCAGCTGGCTGCCCTGGAGCTCCGGGAAGGTTTGACCATCAGGTTTACTGCACCAGGAATATATCCTTCAGTTTCCCCCAGCCAATCTGTAGAATAAGGAGAAATGGAGAGTGTAGGAAGATAACTGCAGTGTGGACACAGCCTCAGGTTTCTTCTTCGGTAAAGCTGATGTTTATTACACAGGGGCATAGTAAGTGAAGCATGCACTTCATTTTTCATTTTTCCTAGAATCCAGTGCTGCTAAAAAAAAAAAAAAAAAGGACAACTGTTTACTCACTGAAGAGCAAATATATACGTTGTTGGATGAGGAAGAAAAAGTTCCGTTGGGACGGGGCGTGGTGGTTCACACCTGTAATCCCAGCACTGTGGGAGGCTGAGACAGGAGGATTGCTTGAGCCCAAAAGTTCGAGTCCAGACTGGGCAAGATGGCGAAACCCCGTCCCTCCAAAAAATACAAATATTAGCTGGGCGTGGTGGTGTGCACCTAGTCCCAGCTACTTGAGAGGCTGAGGTGGGAGGATCGTTTGAGCCTGGGAGGCAGAGGTTACAGGGAGCAGGAGGTTACAGTGAGATGAGATTGCGTCACTGCACTCCAGCCTGGGCGACAGCAAGACCCCGTCTCAGAAAAAAGAAAAAGTTCCATTGCTCCCCACCACCCAAATGAATGCCACCTAAAACAGCTCCTGAATGGCTGGGGGCCAGAGTGGCGGGTTTTGGGAGAAACAAACCACAGCTGCCAGTTATGAGGCACCAGCTGCACCACATCGTTTCATTAGATCCCCCGCGATGCCATGAGGCAGGAGCTCTTCAACTCACTTTCCACATGAGGAAAATAAGGTTTCGGGAAGTTAAGAAACTTGTTTCTGCCACACACATCTTACCTTCTGATTTGATTTTGTGAGAAAAGCCTGGTTTGTTTGTTTGTTTGTTTGTTTTTGCCTGAGCATGGTGCACATTTCAATCTGGAATGAAGGAGTATAGTGAGGGGGAGGTGCGGCGCACCTCAGCTGTGCAGGTGTGTGGTGTTACTTAAAGCACACCATAGCGGCTACTGGGAAGCCTGGGTCCCAGCCCTGTTGCTAAGCTGCTGCTTGACCTGGAGTAGCTCCCTTTTCCCAGCGTGCCTCAGTTTCCTCATGGGAAAGCTCACTACCAGCTGAAGGTGAGTGGACTGGGGATGGAGAGGAGGGGACAGAGCTGGGGTGCAGGCCGGCAGACGGGTGGAGTGTGGGAGAGGCTGAGATGGGGAGAGTCCGGGGAGCAATGGGGTTCCAAGGAGGGGGCTGAGTCCTGGCCTGGGGAAGTCAGGTTCAAGGCGCTGGCGTCCCAGCTGATCCCTGGACCTGAACAGGGACCTGTTCCCTGTCCTGCTTGGAAGTCCCATCCTGGGTGTGGGCAGCCAGAGAAAGGAAGCGTTCTCCCAGTGCTGCCATGGGCTGCAGCCCTACCCTGCTGGGCTGAGTTCTGTGTTTAATGGAGGGAGGAGGAGGAGAGGGGTGAAGAGCTGGGCCTTCTGGTAGCTTTTTATAATTATTTCTAAAATGCTATATTTGGATATTATTTTCTGCTTCTACAAATAAAACATGCATATTGTAAAAAAATTCAAACATAACAAAAATCTGAAATTGCTGGAAATGCTTTCCCAGGGCTGCTCCCTAGAACAAACTATTAATTATTAGGTGCTCATTGTACATGCTTTTTTACTCCTTTATTTTCCTTTTTTTTTGGTAACATATGAACATGTTTATGTTGGACAATATAGAAGTATTTGAATCCAAATATCAGAGTTCCTCTTCCACTCCTTTCAACCTCCTGGTATGGCAGGCCAGGCCTCAGGAACGCGGGCCTCCGTAACAACTATTTCAGTACTGACTGGTGAAGTTAAATATTAAAAGCTGGTAGAGCCAGTGTCCTTACACAAAAGCTGGAATGTAACAAAACCCCACCCAGAGTTTCGCCTAGGCCTTTCCTGGGCCTTAAAGCATGACAAAATAACGAAGGCATTCTTAACAAAACCTGTTTAGGATTAAACAAACAAGTTTTATTGGGGGGTCTGAAGAAACTCCCCAGGCCTCCACGAACAAGTTTATTGGAGGTTGGAAGGAACTCCCCAAACCTCTGTGATTTAGTAGGAGACAAGATAAGGGTAATCACTGCAGCACCTGGACCCATTTAGATTAAGTCAATTTACTGAGGCTCCAGAGGAAGGTCTTCAGGACTCAGACCTTAGTTATAGATTAGAAGTTAATCACTTATGTCTTTAGATAAATGCACACTTACACGTACACATAGAGCTTAGAAGGTATATAAGCTCTGGAATACTTTGAAATTTTGAGTTGGTCTGGCGATAATTTCCAGGCCTTCTCCCTGCACCTGGTTACAGAAATAGAAATTCTCTTCTTTCCCAGTTTATCTGCATCTTGATATGGGGCCACGAGAATAAGCAGCTCGTCCCTCGGTGTGGTCCGGGAGCACTGGCACTAAGCACTGGGCAGTGGGAGGGCAGCTTCTGGGCAGTGCCCCCCAGCCTGCTCCCTCCTGCCACTCCACCTCCCAGGCAGGTCCTCCCACCTCCCCAGGGGTGTGGTGGGGAGGGCTGGGGAGGCCTCAGCACTCCACTGACTCATCAACCCTTCTGTCCTTTGATGGGTAGGATGGGGTGAACGCTAATGCCAGCAGACCTGGTTTCATAATATCTTAGTGTGTTCTGCATGTGTGATCCAGCCCCTCCCTTGGGATGCAGGGGAACTATGCATCTTTTATGTATTCTCAGACTTTGAGGTCTCAGCTGAATTGGAGACAGAAATAATCCCATCTTAATGTCCAGTCACATAACTATATCATCACTTATTTAACTGGCTTTCACTGATGGACATTAGGTTGTTGTGTGAGTGTGCATGCAATACACATCACACCCATGTGTGAGCTCCTGTGCTAGTATTAATATTATAAACAATGCCTCTCATCATGCCACCTGACTTCAAACTATACTATAGAGCAGCAGTAACCAAAACAGCATGGTACTGGTACAAAAACTGACACATAGACCAATGGCACAGGATAGCCTAGAAATAAGGCCACGCACCTACAACCATCTGATCTTTGACAAACCTGACAAAAACAAGCAATGGGGAAAGGACTCCCTGTTCAAAGTGGTGCTGGGATAACTGGCTAGCCATATGCACAAGATTGAAACCAGACCCCTTCCTTATATCATATACAAAAATTAACTCAAGATGGATTAAAAACTTAAACATAAAACCCAAAACTATAAAAACCCTGGAACACAACCTAGGCAATACCATTCCAGACATAGAAACTGGCAAATATTTCATGACGAAGAAGCCAAAAGCAATTGCAACAAAAGCAAAAATTGACAAATGGAATCTAAAGAGCTTCTGCCCAGGAAAAGAAACTATCAACAGAGTAAACATGCAACCTACAGAATGTGAGAAAAATTTTACAAACTAGGCATCTGACAAAGGTCTAATATCCAGCATCTATAAGGAACTTAAATTTATAAGAAAAAGACAACCCCATTAAAAAGTGGGCAAAGGATATGAACAGACACTTTTCAAAAGAAGACATACATGTGGCCAAGAATCATATGAAAAAAAATCAACATCACTGATCATTAAAGAAACTGAAATAAAAAACATGATAAGACACCATCTCACACCAGTCAGAATGGCTGTTAAAAAGCCAAAAAAGAACAGAAGCTGGCAAGGTTGAAGAGAAAAGTGAATGCTTTTACACTGTTGGTGGGAGTGTAAATTAGTTCAACCATTGTGGAAGACAGTGTGGTGAGTCTTCAAAGACCTAAAAACAGAAATACAATTCGACCCAGCAATCCTATTACTGGGTATATACTCAAAGGAATACAAATTGTTCTATTATAAAGACACATGCACACATACGTTCATTGCAGCACTATTCACAATCGGAAAGACACGGAATCAACCCAAATGCCCATCAGTGGTAGATGGATAGAGAAAATGTGGTACCTATACACCATGGAATACTATGCAGCCATCAAAAAGAATGAGATTATATCCTTTGCAGGAACATGGATGGAACTGAAGGCCATTATCTTTAGCACACTAATGCAGGAACAGAAAATCAAATACCTCATGTTCTCACTTATAAGTGGGAGCTAAATGATGAGGACACATAGAGGGGAACAACACACACTGGGGCCTGTCAGGATGTGAAGGGTGGGAGGAGGGAGAGGGTCAGGAAAAATAACTAATAGATACAAGACTTAATGTCTGGGTGACAAAATAATCTGTACAACAAACCCCCATGACACAAGTTTACCTATATAACAAACCTGCACGTGTACCCCTGAACTTAAAATAAGTTAAAAAACAAAAATGCCTCAGGCATTGTAGTTGCCAATTCTCATAAGCAATTGTCACTTTGGCCTTCCTAGACCTCTAACCAGTCTCCAAACAAGTTCCCCTGCCCTGCTCTTCAAACTAGAAGTTGAGCACTGGGCCTACCCAATGTATGTCACAGGGCTCCGAAAGCATCACATTTACTTAAACCTTCTGGTGTAACGGGGATGTAATGTAATTATTATGTACTTAAGAGAGGATAAATTGGCTGGGCATTTCTCCATTGTAGTGAGCTATTTGCTGTTGGTGCCAAACCTGCAGGCCCTGCAGAGTCCATTCACAGTCATTCCCCTCTGCCCTCAGGGATATTTTGATAGGAAATCTTGAAACGTATTCTCTGTAGTAGGCAGCATCCAAGATGGCCCCAGGGATCCCAGCCTCTTGATATCCACACCCTTAGGCAGTCCCTTCCCACAGTGCACCAGGATTGGCCTGTGCGACCAAAGAATATAGCAAAGGGATGGCAAGTCACTTCCACAATTAGGTTATAAGGTTACTATAGGTTATAAAAGGCTTCAAAGCTGAGTGCCATGGCGTGTGCCTGTAATCCTAGCTACCTAGGAGGATGAGGTGGGAAGATCCCTTAGCCCAGGAGTTTGAGACCAGCCTGGATAACATAGAGCCTCATCTTAAAAAAAAAAAAAAAAAAAAAGACTCCACTGGGCGCGGTGGCTCACGCCTGTAATCCCAGCACTTTGGGAGGCCAAGGCAGGTGGATCACCTGAGGTCAGGAGTTCAAGACCAGCCTGGCCCACATGGTGAAACCCCGTCTCTACTAAACATACAAAAATTAGCTGGGCATGCTGGCAGGTGCCTGTGATCCCAGCTACTCAGGAGGCTGAGGCAGGAGAATCACTTGAACCCAGGAGGCGGAGGTTGCAGTGAGTTGAGATTGCACCACTGCACTCCAGCCTGGGTGACAGAGCGAAGACCCTGTCTCAAAAAAAAAAAAAAAAAGGTTTCTCTGGCTGGGTATGGTGGCTCACACCTGTAATCCCAGCACTTTGGGAGGCCGAGGCAGGTGGATGACTTGAGGTCAGGAGTTCAAGACCAGCCTGGCCAATGTGGTGAAACCCTGTCTCTACTAAAAATACAAAAATTAGCCGGGCATGATGGTGCACACTTGTAATCCCAGCTACTCAGGAGGCTGAGGCAGGAGAATTGCTTGAACCAGGGAGGCAGAGGTTGCAGTGAGCTGAGATCATGCCAGTGCACTCCAGCCTGGGTGACAAGAATGAAACTTGGTCTCAAAAAAAAAAAAAAAAAAAAAAAAGACTTGTGCTCTCTATCTTTATTGGATAATTTGCCTTGAGGAATGGGGATGGTTACTGGTAGGCAATGAAAAATGTTCATTAGACAAAATGTCTAGATTTGTAAACCCAAGAACTTAGTCCGGAAGACAATATTGCTTCTTTTGATTTAGAAGAAACTGAATGCTCTAGAGGGCAAAATAATCGATTTTTCATTCAGTGCTGAGTTTCAACCACGTATCATTAATACGTGAATGATTCCAGGACCTTCTCTCCAGACCTTTGGAGGTGTCTTCACACAGGAAAGCTGTTGGTTAATGAGCCTGCCATGTGGGTATACCGTAGTTGGCACTTTCATTCTCACTCAGTTATTTGCGTCCCTTTGATCCTGCGAAGTATCTTCGTATCCCCACATGCTAGATGAGGAAATGATGCCTGAAGAGGTTACACAAATGACCCATGGACACGCTGCTAATTAGTGGCACGTCTCTGGTGTTAATAAGGATTCTCAACGAATTGGAGTTATGTTACCAAGTCAAAACATGGGGAACTGGCTGGGCGCGGTGGCTCACCCCTGTAATCCTAGCACTTTGGGAGGATGAGGCGGGCAGATTGCTAGAGCTCAGGAGTTTGAGGCCAACCTGAGCAACATAATGAGACCTCTTGTCTCTACAAAAAATTTAAAAAATTAGCCGGGAGTGGTGGCACAAACCTGTGGTTCCAGCTACTTGGGAGGCTGAAGTGGGACAATGACTTGAGCCTAGGAGCAAGACCCTGTCTCAAAAATAAAAACCAAAACTTGGGGAATTCGTCCTAAGGATCCACGGGTGTCTCATGGAGCTTGAGAGCTGAGGTCCAGGTAGGACACGACCAGGGACCATTGGTCATGCTCCATCGGGGTGCTCTGCTTCCCTCTCTGCTCCTCTCCGTCTCTGCTCTGTTCTTCTCTTTTCCTGCAGTCAGGCTCTCTCTGCTCCTCTAGGCCTTGCGGCAGGAAAAGGTGGCCACTACGGTTACTGGTTTTTTTTGTTTTGTTTTTTTCCTGGTTTTTTTTTTTTTTGAGATAGAGTCTCGCTCTGTCACCCAGGCTGGAGTGCAGTGGTGCGATCTCAGCTCACTGCAACCTCTGCCACCCAGGTTCAAGCGATTCTCCTGCCTCAGCCTCCCGAGTAGCTGGGACTACAGGTGCCTGCCACCACGCCCAGCTAATTTTTGTTATTTTTAGTAGAGACGGGGTTTCGCCATGTTGGCCAGGCTGATCTCGATCTCCTGGCCTCAGCCTCCCAAAGTGCTGCGATTACAGGCCTGAGCCACCACGCCTGGCCATCACTGTTCTTTTCTTCCTCCCTCAGTTCCAAAATCCTAGAGAAGGCACACCCATGGGCACAGGGGGCACGTCATGTCATACAAAATGGACGCTGACCTGGCCCCACTCCCGAGGGCCTCAGCGGATAGAGTCATTATGAGCTGCGCCGATAGCCCGGAAGCGGAACTAGCGTTGCAGATCAGCAGCAGGGAGCGAGCCCCTGTGAGGTCGGCCAGGGACTTCCTACGGGTGGATTGCTGTGACAGCAGCTTTGTGCCTACAACTTCTGCCAGCTTCCTGCTTTTTCTCTCATCACAGCCATTTTGTCCAAGCAGCCCCTACGGCTACTTATTGTGCAATTCACCGAGTGCACTGAGGAGCTTCAAGAAATAGCTGCCTGGGCCTGGGTTTCCGTCCACATCTTTGTGAGATGAGACTCTGGGGCTGCCTGGGCCTGAGCTTCCGTCCACATCTTTGTGAGATGAGACTCTGGGGCATTTCCCTCCAGCATGGCCTTTGGTTCCAAGTCAGGTTTGGGTGGTAGATTCCTAGGAAGAGTCTCGATGAGCCAGTCCCTGTGGGACAGGCGATGCCCTCTCTGGACAATGGGCCCCATGGACCCTGGACGGTCGAGGAGCTGATGTCATCTGAGTTCTGTGCACGGGCCAGGGCTTGTTGCTGGTTGCAGTTTCTGTGTGCGTGCGGTATGTCGGGGTGGCTGTCAACTCTGTCTGGATTAATAATGACTGACTTGAACCTAATTCATTAGATACACAAGACCAGGAAGGTGGTTCACCCAGAATTGGGCAAGTCATGGGAGCCGCGGCAGCCTTCCTCTGGCCTGTCTCTGCCAGGCCTCCGCAGTGCATCACTCAGAGCTGAGAGGAGCCCTGCCCAGCTCAGCAGGCCCAGGGTCCTGAAGAAGGTGTTGTTGGCCCAAGGCCCCCAGGCAGCCCTGGGATGGCACAGGTGGCTCCTCACCTGTCTGGAGGCCCTCGACAGCCCCTGAGGCCTTTCCCAAGAAGGCCTTCACCCTGGATCTAATCTGGAAGGGAGGAATCTTCCTCTAGTAGTAAAAGGGGTAGTCCTCTCTTAAAAAAGGAGGCTTCCTTCTGAGGCCTCCTGAAGTCAGCCTTGTCTTAGCTGCCACAATTACACGCTAACACCCAGTTGCCCAGGCTTCTCTCTAGAGCTCTAAGTCTGGTCATCCAGCTTGTCTGTTGGACATCTGCCCTTGCGTGTGCCCTGGGCACCTCCCAGCACGTGAAGTCCAGTCCTCCTCACTCATGGGTACTCTGCTCTCCTTCCTTACTCTTCTCAAAACCTGCTCCTCTAATATTCACTCCTTACGGGACTGTTCCCACCAGCCCCCTAACCAGTTCGAGCCCAAGTGTTATTCTCCACTCCTTCATTCAAGAAACATTTATTTGGCCTGCAGTGGCTCAAGCCTGTAATCCCAGCACTTTGGGAGGCCGAGGCAGGCAGATCGCTTGAGGTCAGGAGTTTGAGACCAGCCTGGCCAACATGGTGAAACCCATCTCTACTAAAAATACAAAAATTAGCCAGGCGGTGGTGGTGTGCACCTGTAATTCCAGCTACTTGGGAGGCTGAGGCAGGAGAATCGCTTGAGCCTGGGAGGCAGAGGTTACAGTGAGCCGAGATTGCGCCACTGAACTTCAGCCTGGGTGACACAGCGAGACTCTGTCACATACACACACACACACACACACACACACACACACACACACACACGCATTTATTCAACCCCTGCTATGTGCCAGGCCCTGTGCTGGGCTCTAGAGGTAAAGGCATGAGTCAGTGCCAGCACAAGATGCTTGCAGGTTAGTGGAAAGCACACCTTTCCACCCAGGGAAGGGAAAAAATGAGAACTTGGCAAGCTCACAACAGGAGGAGGGTGTAGAGCGTCTTGCTCCCTGGCTTATAAGATTCAGGAAAGGTTTCCTGGAGGAGGGGATACCAGAATTGAGTCAGGGGAGAAGACAGAGGAGGGAGGAAGAGGACTTCCAGGCAGAGGGGAATGTGGGGCCCAGTGTGTCTCGGGGAACTGGGAACAGGCTGACGCTGCCAGAGTGTAGTATGCCGGGCAAGGGAGTCCTGGCAGCCAAGGCTGGAGCCATCATCAGGAGCAGGTTAAGAAGGCTCTTGTTGCGAAGGGGAGCATCTAATAAGATTGGACTTTGTCCTGTGGCAGGGGAGAGCCATTTAAGGGTTTGGAGCTATGGGTGGGAGTCGGGGGTAAAGGGGCCACGATCAGGTTGTATTTGAGTGATTCCCTCTGGAGGCTGTGCAGAGGTCTGAATATGAAAGTGAGGGGTACAAAGCAGGAAGCGAGATCGTGGAAAGGCAGGAGATGATGGGGCCTGAACTAGGGCTGTGGAGGAAAGGGAGAGGAAAGGACCGTTCACTAGGCGTTGGGGAGGCAGAAGATGAAAGAGTCAAGGATGACCCTCCTGTTTCTGGCTAGGGTATCCGGTGAATGGTAGGCCAGCAATGGAGCCAGGCAGTACAGGAGAAGAAATGTGTTTGCGGGGAAGTTTGAAGAGTCCATATTTGGATATGTTGAGTTTGAGTGCCTACAGCTGGGGTGTCCAATCTTTTGGCTTTTCTGGGCCGCACATAAAACTCTATCACTAATGATAGCTGATGAGCTGAAAAAAAATTGCCAAAAAATCTCATGTTTTAAGAAAGATAAGGAATTTGTGTTGGGCCACATTCAAAGCTGTCCCGGGCTGCATGTGGGCCCGCGGGCCATGGGTTGGACAACTTGGCCTACAGGATATTCAGGAGGATAACTTCAGGAGGAGATGTTTAGCAGGAAACACAAGGAGAAGTGGGACTGGAGATAGGAATCTCTGTGTTAGGGGAACTGTAAAAAGGTTGCTGATGCAAGTAGGAGAGGATGCACTAGCTCCAGGAAGAGTGCGCAGAATGGGAAAATGGTGAGGGTCATATCCTGGTGAGCCCTGATGGGAACGGGTGGGCCAGAGAAAAAGAAACTCAGGAGAAAGAACTCAGAGAGCAACACTGAGGATTTAGTGAGAGGAGTATCACATGACAGCCAAAGGGCGAGTCATGGGAGCCGCAGCAGCCTTCCTCTGGCCTGTCCCTGCCAGGCCTCCACACCTCGATATGCAGAGAGTCTCACACCACAGAGCAGTCCAGCAGCACAAAGACTGGAACGTGTTTATTAGACCTGACATTTAGGAAGCCACTGGCAAACCTGTGGTTGGGAGAGGCAGGCCTCGGCCGACATGGTAGCTCCAGTCTCAACCGTACCTATGGCACTGTGGAAGGAGCATGGGAGTGGAATTCATATGCAGCAATCAGTCTTGTTCAGCACAGAGGAGGCTTGATTTTAAAGCTAAACAAATTTGCATTTTGGAATGCAACCAAAGCTAGGCACGGTGCCTCACGCCTGTAATCCCAGCACTTTGGGAGGCTGAGGCGGGCGGATCACTTGAGGTCAGGAGTTCGAGACCAGCCTGTCCAACATGGTGAAACCCTGTCTCTACTAAAAATACAAAAATTAGCCGGGTGTCATAGTGGGTGCCTGTAATCCCAGCTACTCGGGAGGCTGAGGCAGGAGAATCACTTGAACCCGGGAGGTGGAGTTTGCAGTGAGCTGAGATCATACCACTGCACTCCAGCCTGGGCGACAGAATGAGACTCTGTCTCAAAAGAAAAAAAAAGAATACAACCAGAAAAAAAAAATCCGTTATTAAATATTCAAAAACCACATAAACTTTTAGAAGCCCCACTCTGCAGGGAATAAACACAACATTGCTCAAGAAGGAATGAGGTTGTAAGCTGTAGCGATCCTGGACTATTCTGGCAGGCAGATTTCTAATGTATGCTTTCCACGAATAAAAGCAATATGAAAGCACATTAACTGTTTATAACCGTGTCAGTCCTGACCTGTGCATTAAGAAGCTTGTACTGTATTTGGAACTTGGTTTTGAACAACAGCGCCTCCTGGTGTAAATGTCATGCATAAATACTTTACTAGCATAGTGGCAATATTCTAATAGAAATATTGCTGCTCTGATACTTTTTTACTTAAAAAGCAAGTTAAAAACATGTTTTGGGATGAGGAAAGTGATATGGAGGACTTGTTTAGGTTTTATGTAGTACAGCATTAGGGATATTGATAAAGCTGTCATTTAAGATGATAAAAATTCATCTGCCCTTGCATTGTACAGCTGTACTTCTATAAAGTGTCACAGAGTGGGGTCTACCACTTATTTTTTTAATGAAATTTATAGCCGGGTGCGGTGGCTCATGCCTGTAATCTCAGCACTTTGGGAGTCCGAGGCGGGCAGATCACCTGAGGAATTCGAAACCAGCCTGACCAACCAACATGGAGAAACCCTGTCTCTACTAAAAATACAAAAAAAAATTAGCCGGGCATGGTGGCGCATGCCTGTAGTTCCAGCTACTTGGGAGGCTGAGGCAGGAGAATCACTTGAACCTGGAAGGCGGACACTGCAGTGAGTCGAGATCGCGCCACTGCACTTCAGCCTGGGCAACAAGAGCAAAACTCAAAAAAAAAAGTTTATAAAATGATACAGAAGATTGAACAATGAATTTCTCAAATTGAACCATTTGTGTAACCAAGCACGTAGATCAACAAATAAAAAATGACTGACAGCCCAGATGCCTCCTCATGCCCTGAACTCCTGTAGGTCACGACTGCCTGGCTAGGGTAATCACGGTCACGTCTTCTCACATCACAGATCAATTCTGCTTGTTGATATTTCTATGACTGGAACAATTTGTAAGAATATTCTCACAAGTATATTGAATAAGACACAAGAGTGTGTTCTTTTGGATCTTATTCAATACATTAGCAACATTTACCCATGTTGCTTGGTGTAGTTGGTTTTCTCTTTGCTGTATAAAAACCATTGTAAAGCTCAACCATAATTTATCATCAGTCCTATGGTCGATAAACATTTGGATTGTTTCCAGGGTTGGGCTTTTATAGCCTGCTATGAACATTATTGTACATGCCTTTTGGTGCCCATATGCATGCATTTTATTAGGAATATACCTAGAAGAAGAATGACTGGGTTATAGCGCATGAACTTTAGTAGACAATGCCAACCAGTTGTCTAAATTGGTTGTTCCAATTTATATTACCATCAACAGCAGATGAGAATTTCAGTTTGCTTCACATCCTCACCAACATATGGTATTGTTAATCTTTCTAATTATAGATATTTTCTGGTGGGTATATGTCATCGTACTTTTTAAAAGCAGCTTTATTAAGACACAGTTCAATTATAGATAATTGCACCATACAATTGATCCACTTACTGTGTACAATTCAGTGGCTTCCAGTATACTTGGAGTTGTCATCCATCACCATAATCAATTTTAGAACATTTTCATTACCCCCCAAATAAACTTTATAGCCTTTCATTATCACCCTCAACTCCACCATCCCCTCAGCTCTAGTCTACCACTGATCTATTAATACTTTCTCTGTAGAGTTGCCAATTCTTAACATTTCATATAAACAGAATCATACAGGCCAGGCACGGTGGCTCACGCCTGTAATCCCAGCACTTTGGGAGGCCGAGGCTAGCAGATCACAAGGTCAGGAGATCGAGACCATCCTGGCTAACACGGTGAAACCCTGTCTCTACTAAAAATACAAAAAATTAGCTGGGTGTGGTGGCGACGCCTGTAATCCCAGCTACTAGGGAGGCTGAGGCAGGAGAGTGGCGTGAACCCGGGAGGCGGAGCTTGCAGTGAGCAGAGATCGCGCCACTGCACTCCAGCCTGGGCGACAGAGCGAGACTCTGTCTCAAAAAATAATAAAATAAAAATAAACAGAATCATACAATAAGTGGCCTTTTGTGTCTGGCTGCTTTCACTTAGCATGTCTTCAAGGTTCACTAGATTTTGATTCTCCATGTGGGACACAGGTTGTAGGCTTCCTATTCCCTTTAAGCTCATCTATCTGATGATACATTTCATAGTGAATTTATCTTCATGGACCTACCAGGAAGCAGTGCTACTCTAAATCAATCTGTGAGAGCATGACTGAGGTTTATCTTTGACTGCAGGAATGAGTGAGCTTTGTTAACATTTTCTAGGCCAAATTATTTTGGCCATCCTTTATGATGAGACATTCTGAAGTCTCAAGTTCATTTGTTGGAACAGATCCAAATGATTTATTGAGTTGAAACAAATCTGGCTATTTTTTGAGAGGGGTTTTCGCTCTTGTTGCCCAGGCTGGAGTGCAATGGCACAATCTTGGTCATCACAACCTCCACCTCCCGGGCTCAAGTGATTCTCCTACCTCAGCCTCCCGAGTAGCTGGGATTACAGGCATGTGCCACGATGCCTGACTAATTTTGTATTTTTAGTAGAGATGGGATTTCTCCATGTTGGTCAGGCTGGTCTCAAACTCCCAACCTCAGGTGATCTGCTTGCCTCGGCCTCCCAAAATGCTGGGATTTCAGGGATGAGCCACCGTACCCGGCCTGAATTGGGCTTTTCTTTCAAGTATCCCTACAGCCGATCTTATTGCTGACATCTATGTAGAGGCATGGGAACTTCCACCCAGCTGAAGAAGATACACACGTGGGAGGTGGCCATGTGAAGACAGAAGCAGAGATTGGAGTTATGTCTACAAGCCAAGATAAGCCAAGGGTTGCTAGCAGCCATCAGAAACTAGGAAAGGCATGGAATGAATTCTCCCCCAGAGCCATCACAGAAAACCAACTCTGCCAACATCTTGACTTTTAACTTGTGGCCTCAACTATGAGAGAATAACTTTGCTTTAAGCCATCACATTTGTGGTAACTTGTTATGGCAGCACTAAGAAATGAATACACTAAAGACCTGATTTCAAAGCTGCCTGGCATAAGCTGGTGCTCAATAAAAGCTCGCGGAGCTGAGTTAGGTTGTGAATATTCCTTAGCAAGGACCTGGACCTCTCTTTGTGTGTGTTGAACAAGAATAACTGAACGTGAGCTCTTTTTCCTGATTTGTTTCCCTAACTAAAATTTAGTAGCTTGGATCAGAGAGATGGTCCCAGTTTCCTGTAGATCTTCTGGAATTAGAGTAAATGTGACCTATTTTCCTCTTTAATGGCATCAAGGCTGGGGCATTCTGAGTGTGAATCACCATGGATAGTGACACATTTTTTATTGGCAAGGGGACCGGCCTTATTTTGGTAGATGAGTTGTTATTTTCCTCTGATTCAGCTTAAGTTTAGTACTGATGTCCAAAAGCAGAAAAGGAGAAAAAGAGCCAATTAGGATGTCTGGATACCATACTGCTTACACTGACTACAGAAATGTCTATCATACTAGGGTTAAGTTTGAACTATCAGAAATCTGCCTCAGCACACATTTGGAGAATTTTTTTTTTTTTAAAGACAGGGCCTCACTCTGTCATCCAGGCTGGAGTGCAGTGGCATGATCAGAGCTCACTGCAGCCTCCACCTCCTGGGCTCAGGCAATTCTCCTGCCTCAGCCTCCCTAGTAGCCTGGACTACAGATGTGCACCATCACGTCCGGCTTTTTTTTTTTTTTTGGTATTTTTTGTAGAGATGAGGTTTCGCCATGTTGACCAGCCTGGTCTCAAACTCCTGAGCTCAAGCCATCAGCCAGACTCAGCCTCTCAAAGTGCTGAGATTACAGGTGTGAGCCACCACACCCAACTGGAGAACTCTTCACCAGAAGATATACAATAACCACCTTATTTAGCCAGACTAGTGGGTCCTGGCAGACTCCTAGGTGTGGACCATTGGTTATTAACCAGTCACCATGTATTGTTCCCATGTGTAGACCAAGAACTAGACATTTGAAGGGGATGTGGATTTCTTCTTCCTGAACAAGTCACTTCTTCTATATAGTGGGAAAACATCCAAACTAATTCTACCACATATTTTCAGATTATAAGGTGACATTCAATATTCCTGGCTGTCACTATGTTTTTCCCTTGTTCCTTTTCCTATATTTCCTGCCAAATTAGGAGACAGAGATACATGAAAAGGTCAAGAGTATGTGTGCTGTAGAGTATCTCAAGAGGAATCCACCCCATCTCAAAGTGGGGCTCAAGTTTCCTACCCCCAATTCTTTGGAATGCTGAATTTTATGAGGATCAAATTATTTTTTTTTTTGAGACGGAGTCTCACTCTGTTGCCCAGACTGGAGTGCAGTGACATGATCTTGGCTCACTGCAACCTCTGCCTCCTGGGTTCAAGTGATTCTCCTGCCTCAGCCTCCCGAGTAGCTGGGATTACAGTAGGCATCTGCTACCTCGCCCGGCTTTTTCTTTTTTTTGAGATGGAGTCTCGCTGGGTCACCAGGCTGGAGTGCAGTGGTGCGATCTCAGCTCACTGCAACCTCTACCTCCTGGGTTCAAATGATTCTCCTGCCTCAGCCTCCCAAGTAGCTGGGACTACAGACATGCGCCACCACACCCAGCAAATTTTTATATTTTTAGTAGAGACAGGGTTTCACCATGTTTGCCAGGATGGTCTCGATCTCTTGACCGCATGATCCGCCTGCCTTGGCCTCCCAAAGTGTTGGGATTACAGGCGTGAGCCACCATGCCCAGCCCTTTTTTTTTTTTTTTGTATGTTTAGTAGAGATGGGGTTTCACCATGTTGGCTAGGCTGGTCTTGAACTCCTGGCCTCAAGTGATCCACCCACCTTGGCCTCCAAAGTACTGGGATTACAGACGGGAGCCACTGTGCCTGGCCCAATTATTTTAAATAGCTGTGAATTCAAGCAAATATATCTGAAGATTTACTGACAAACAAGGAGCTTTGTTCTTGAATCTATGGCAGCTTCAGAGAAATTAAGACTGCTTTAAAAATGAGTATTTTCTAATGTATTGTAGCAACAAAAGTTACATTCAACTATATATAGAATAAAATGTTTTAAAATCATACTGTAGTTTGTTAAGGCATACAATAATAGAAAGTCATCTTGGGATCTCACGAGTAACGTTCAACTCTTTAGAAACCAGGTTAACTCTGCATAGTTCTGGTCTAGACCTGTGCCATCTAACTTGGCCACTATGCACGTGTGGCTACTGAGCATTTGAAATGTGGCTGGTCCAAACTGAGATGCATCATCAATGTAACATACACACTGGATTTCAAAGACTTGGTATGAGAAAATATAAAGTATCTTAATATTACAGTAGAAATATTTTGGCATATTGGACTGAATATTAAAAATAATTTCAACTGTTTTTAATGTGGCTCACAAAATTTAAAATCATGTGGCTAATTACACTTTATTGAACGGCCTTGTTCATCCAGTTCATTAAAGTGTACAAGAGAGCTGAAACATTGGCTGTGTGATGTGATCCCATTCATAAGAATCTCATCCTCCCGGCCAGGCGCAGTGGCTCATGCCTGTAACCCCAGCACTTTGGGAGGCTGAGGCGGGTGAATCACCTGAGGTCAGGAGTTTGAGACCAGCCTGGCCAACATGGCAAAACCCCGTCTTTACTAAAAATACAAAAATTAGATGGGTGTTGTGGCACATACTTTGAATCCCAGCTACTCGGGAGGCTGAAGCAGGAGAATCACTTGAACCCAGGAGACAGAGGTTGCCGTGAGCCGAGATCACGTCACTGCACTCCAGCCTGGGGGACAGAGCAGGGGAAAAAAACAAAACAAAACAAAAAACACAACTCTTTTCTAGGGAGTGACTCAGGCCGCCACTACCCAAGCAGACGAAGAGAGCTGGCTTTTATATATGCTTCTGCATGGAAAGGCCACATAGCCTATGCTTACAGGCCCTTGGCCAGAACCATGCCCCTCCATGACTTATGTAAGTAGGGTGACTTGGGATAGTGCATGGGTACTTAGCAGTAAATGCCTCTGTC
This sequence comes from Homo sapiens, assembly GCF_000001405.40. Lineage (NCBI taxonomy): Eukaryota > Metazoa > Chordata > Mammalia > Primates > Hominidae > Homo > Homo sapiens. The sequence goes on from NC_000009.12 coordinate 36,334,900, forward strand.
ATAAGACATGGTGTTAAGTTTTGGGTTTCTTGAAACATTCAAAGTTAAACACAAGTACTCTTCTACGTATGTTGGAAAAAGGAGGGAATAAAATCAGGATGTGGTCACTTCTGTCAGAGGAGTACTGGAGCCAGTCAAGAGGGTAAAATCTTAATTAACAAAGCCTATGTAGATTGTTTATATTTCCTTCCTTTTTTAGTCAAAGGAAAACTATTATACAAACATATATGGAAAATGACAAGCAGAGGCTCCTCCTTCCATATTATGTTGACAGTAAGTTGTATATAAACTGTAGCTAATGTGGACAAATCTAAATAGTTGTCTATTGCAGTCTTGTAGAAAGAACTCTAGTTGAATTCTAGTTACCTACGTTATCTTTTTTTTTTTTTTACCGCCTTCCCAAGATGGAGTCTTGCTGTCACCCAGGCTGGAGTGCAGTGGCACGATCTTGGCTCACCGCAACCTACGCCTCCCTGGTTCAAGTGATTCTCCCGCCTCAGCCTCCCAAGTAGCTGGGATTACAGACATGTGCCACCATGCCTGGCTAATTTTTGTATTTTTAGTGAGACAGGGTTTCACCAGGTTGGCCAGGCTGGTCTTGAACTCCTGACCTCATGATCCGCCCAACTCAGCCTCCCAAAGTGCCAGGACTACAGGTGTGAGCCACCACACCCAGCCTTTTATTTTTTATTTTTCCTGAAGAGACAGGGTCTTCTTGCTATTGCCCAGGCTGGAGTGCAGTGGCACAAATATAGCTCACTGTAACCTCAAATTCCTGGGCTCAAGTGATCCTCCAACCTCAGACTTCTAAGTAGCTAGGACTATAGGTGTGCGCCACCAGGCCCAGCTAATTTTTAAAACATTTTTGTAGAGATGGGGGTCTCACTATGTTGCCAGGCTCTACTTATGTATCTCTACTGTTCAATATGCATATACCATGTTTGGCTATACTCTTTCTGCTATGTTCTTGGCCTTTATAAAAATATAAATATGGCCGGGCGCGGTGGCTCACGCCTATAATCCCAGCACTTTGGGAGGCTGAGGTGGGTGGATCACGAGGTCAGGAGTTCAAGACCAGCCTGGCCAAAATGGTGAAACCCTGTCTCTACTAAAAATACAAAAATTAGCCAGGCACAGTGGCGGGATCCCAGCTACTTGGGAGACTGAGGCAGGAGAATCGCTTGAACCAGGGCTGCAGAGGTTACAGTGAGCTGAGATTGAGCACCCCAGCATGGGTGACAGAGTGAGATTCTGTCTCAAAAAAAAAAAAAAAAAAAAATATATATATATATATATATATAAAATATATAAATATGTACCATATGTTACAACGCTAGTTACTTTTGCATTTCTAAGTTGTTTACACAAATGCAGAAATACAGAATCTGGCAGCCAGTAATTCAACCCAGCTCTATCTTCCTGCTGCTATCTATCTCTCCATCCCCATGCATATACAACCCTTCCCCATCCCTAACACAGTGACATGAAACACAACAGATGTTTTAAGTGTACATCATACATTTATTACCAACAACCCTCTCAACTCCAAAATTGGGCACAGGGATTAAAAATAAAAATTCATTGCACTACTTAGTAAAGCATTACTAGTAACTTTCATAAAAAATGTACAAACTTTGTTAAAAATTTATCAAGCCTTCAAATGATTTGGTTACAGATATTTATAATACATACATTTAAAACTATATGTTAACTGATACAATGGAATATGATTTGAGAAAATGACTCAGCAAATGATTCCAAAAAACACCCCTGTGAGCTTTCACAATCTGAAACGGCAAAATGAGGTAACCAAATGTACCAACAGGGGGACAAACAAACAGCTTTCTAATGAAAAGGCCCAAAGATAATCTGTGAAAAATATTCTCACAAGTGAGTCGGTAGATCTCATTCAAAATTATTCTAAGAGGCCCAAATTTAAGAATCTTAACAAATCACATTTCAGATAGTATATAAAATCTAAATATGCTTTCACATTTTCCAGATTTTGCTCAAAAAATTAAGGACAGAAAATCCTAATATGAGATCTTGATACCTGGAGGCCTTATTTTTTTGAGGGGCTGGGGGTTAAAAAAACACCAAAGATGACAATTCATGCCAAAAAACAAACAAGAACCCACAAAAAACCCACAGCTGAGTTAAGATGGTAAAGCCAATATTATTTTAGGAGGAAAGAGGACGAAGGCCAATGAACCAACATCTGCCTGCTATCTGGTGCATCACCCAAGGTGACCAATGGCTGGGCACAAATAAACTTCTCTTTTGCTAGCCACAGAGTTGCTCACTGTGGCAAGCCTGAGCTGGTCAGAACACCTGTGTGTGTGTTCCTGATACACACTAACCACAATAAGCAAGTCTGCACACATCTCTATGAGCCCCATGCAAAGACAAGACATTCCCAAAGATCAGTCACTAGAGTGCAACAACGAAATTCAAGATTTGACCAAAACAGACCCTGCTGCCTCCTAAATTGCCAATTGCCTCTCAAAAACTTACAGAAAAAGGGACATTATAAGAATTCATAGAGGGAGAGAAGAAAAAGCTGCTACTCCTAGTCATTAGTACAATGTGCTGTGTTAATTAGATACCTCTATATAAATTAGAAAAAGTGCTTTACTTGCATGCTTCAATAAAATGAATACTGAGTGTCGTAGTGTTAGATCTGTACAGATATAAATTTTTTGCAGCTATATAAAAGTGTATAAGATGGGCTTTTGCCATTTTAAACATGATTTTTTTTCATTAAAAAAGATTAAACTATATGTGATTTGTATGTAGCTGATTATTATGCCAAGAATTTTGGTCTTTAACACACTTTTTATTCATCAGGAACAGGTGAGGGATATCCTAATGATTTAAAAGTAACATGTGCATTAACCATGTGCATTTTTACCACTATTTAGAAGTATTTCTGATGCACTGACAACCCTAGGGGCAAACACAGTATGCAAAACCCTACTTGTAGGACTAGATAGAGGCAACAATGTCTCGCAAAGGGCAAAATTGTGCTTCTGTGAATTGACTTTACTTAACTCTAGGCTGTGATGAGCTTATAGACACTTCAAGGGAGGGCAAGCAGCATGGCAGTAACAAGTAGTTAACACTGAATGGAAAACTGACACAGAGCCAACTGAAAGTTGAGTGGGGCTGGCAGCAAGTTATCACAGTCCTGACTGGAATAATGCAGCTTGTGCTATTGCAAACAAAGCAATTACATCAACTGCAGGAAGAGGCAGACAATGTTGAATACACTAAAAGAATGAGAAAGTAATTTAAACATTGCTGGAAAAATGACTTTAAAGTGAATTATGCTCAAAGAACTTACTAAAAAAAACCCCATACAGCTATGTATTACATCAACTAAATGAAGGTCAACTCCTGTTTAACAGCATTATTTTTTTATACAAAAACCAAATCTTCATTTATACTGCAAGTATTCTGGACACCTGTTGTATTAAACTTTTCTCATTCAAACAAAAATTAAAAGGAAAGGCAGTAAAATATCAAAACAAATCAGGTCTAAGGAACATGAGCTGTAACAGCACTTGATCCATCCTGAAACCAGGGTTTCGATGAGAAGCACGTGTGATGAAGGAAGAACTAGACAACTTTCAGAATTGGAGTCTGGCAAGTGAATTAATATGAACAGAAATAGAGTTTTCTTAAAACAATTGAGTTGCCCACAGGAGCTTGAACACAGAACACATATGAGAAGTCAAGCTGAATTAACAGGTTTTGTTCTGGTGGAAGTCAACAAGGTGAGACTTCATGGGACTAGTGGTCTTCTTAGAAATATATTAATCAAATATCTTCAGAATAGACTAGACTACAAATCTAAACATTAAAAAAAATCACAGGTACTTTCTGTAAGAAACTTACTGGAAATGTAAAGGAAAAAAAAGTATCAACATTCAAATCACTGATTGAAATGCTAATATTGCTAACTGATGATATATGATATTGCACCTTCTTTTTGGAAACAGCAAGTTGGAGATTTAAAAATTTCCACAACAGAATAAAAAAAAACCAGGTTCATGGAGCGAGAATTTGTTACACTTTTTTTTCTTAAGTGACCCACTTAGGACCACCAATAAAGAGAAGGTGACAGCTGCCTGAAGCAAAGGAAGAAGGCTTTTCTCATTCCATTCACTGGGAGGGAAGGGGATGGAGTATTCAATGCTTGTAATTGATGCACCCTCAGCAATCAGTGTGCAACAGCAAACACAAGGGAAAAAAACCAGTGTACAGTACTAGTGCTGTTTAAATAACACACCAGATTATACATTGCAGCATAATTAAAACTACACACACATTCTTGGTACATGCTGGTATATAGGATCTCATACACACGTTAGCTACCATGCCCTCACACAAGTAGTTGCACACACTCACACAGATACACTTATCACCAACAGTCATACGCTGCGCATTCATTTCCACTCACAGTTTCTGAAGGCTCTATATAAGGTAGATTGCTATATCATCTGTAGCTACCACTTTTTATAAAAGCACATGCTAAAAGATCACGTCCACTGTAATCTTGCAGCAACACTCGGAATGATCACACAAAAACCAGGGAATGTTAGTGCACACACAAAATTAAGCTAAAGAAAAAGTCTTTGGAGTTCCAATCACACGGTTAGTATAACAATCCCATAACTGTGAAGACTAATTGTAAGCTTTTATAGTTGATTAAGTCACACAGTGCAAAGAAAGGTCCATTGACCCTTTTGGTAAAGGGAGGGCTGGAAGCCACACAGATTAAGTTCAATGGATAGTCCGTATATACATGTGATGAGGAACACCCAAACTAAATTTGTGCTTCTTAGGTTGGTCATTCTGAATCCCGATGCACTTCTGAAGCATCAGCTCGGCAAATTGGGCAAGTACGATTTGCCTACAAAACAAAAAGGAAAACTTGTTTAAATTGTGACACATACAATGAAACACATTCAAAGCAATGGAACTACTTTTACTTCCCACAGTTTTTACATTCTTTCTTCCTCTGAAGAGGTACAAAGCAATTTTTGCCTTTTTTTAACCCATAAACCTCCGAATTAGCCCAGGAATTTTTTTTTTGAGATGGAGTTTCGCTCTTGTTGCCCAGGCTGGAGTGCAATGGCACGATCTCAACTCACTGCAACCACTGCCTCCTGGGTTCAAGCGATTCTCCCGTCTCAGCCTCCCGAGCAGCTGAGATTACAGGTGCCCACCACCATGCCTGGCTAATTTTTGTATTTTAGTAGAGACGGGGTTTCACCATGTTGGTCAGGCTGGTCTCAAACTCCTGACCTCGGGTGATCCACCCACCATGGCCTCCCAAGGTGCTGGGATTACAGGCGTGAGCCACTGCGCCTGGCCGCCATGAATGATTTTTAGTAGGTCTGTTAAAATATATAAACAAGATTACCATTGACCAGTTTGGACCAAGTTAACAACTGACATTAAAGTAAAAGCTTGGTTAGTCTTTTTTTCCCCCGTTTTTTGAGACAGGGTTAAACCCTGTTGCCCACAGGAGCACAGTGGCATGACTACAGCTCACTACAGACTTGAACTCCTGGGCCTAAGTGATCCTCCTGCTTCAGCTTCCTGAAAACCTAGGATTAACAGGTGTGTGCCACCACACCCAACCAATTTAAAAGACGGGTTTCACTAAGTTGCCCAGGCTGGTCTCAAACTCCAGGCCTCAAATGATCCTCCTGCCTTTGCCTCCCAAAATGTTGGGATTACATGCCTGAGTCACCATTCCTGGCCCCTTGGCTATTCTTAATGGAATGAAGTCACAGAAAACATTTAGTGGTACCGAGGAAAGCTTGATTGTAAAATAGGTGACTGACTCTATACTGATAGCTCTACTTACTCACCTGTTCCCTGGCTCCTAAATTTGCTTTCTCCATTTCAACAAATGGGACCATAATTTGTGGAGTTGCTAATGCCAGACACATAAGCATCACCTGCTCTCCTACTTCCTACAACCCCATTATTCAGCACATAATCTTATTTCTGCATTACAGTAATTCTCAAATCAGTCCCTCTTTTCATCTAGTTGCTACTATCCATTCTCTGGCCCACCATGTCTTTATTCTATCTCCCTGTCTCTCAGAAATTACCTCTTTTATTAGAACAGTGGCCAGAAATCCTTCTATAAAACAGTCTGTTATATACTTCCCAAATGCTTTCAGGATCACACTAAACTCCTTTACGCTTCAGAGTGGCTTCACAACAAGCCGCTCATTGATTTTATCTCTGAACACCTTTTCTTTTCCCACTCTTCCTCACATTCCAACTATCAGCCACACGGAACTTGTGGTTTTCTGATTCTCTGTCCGCACGTGTCAGGGATTTACACATATAATGCTTTCCTTTTAAAATAATTTAAGACTCTTTGTCTTCAGGATTGAGTTTGGGCTAAACTAGATCTCTGGAACTGTGCTCCCTCAGAACTGACTTTATCTTCCTCACCAAATAGTAAGGTTATCTAGTTTTATCCAAACCGGAACACTTAATTTAAAAAATAACATAAATTTGACTATATTTTTTTTATATAGTCATGGAGCCACTGCACCCAGCCTATTAAAATTCTTTTACTGTATCACATTTTACTGTATCACAATTTGAGACTATGAAACTATGAAGAGTAAAAAAGCAGCTTTTGTAAACTTTTTTTTTTAAACATTAAATAGCCAGGTGCAGTATATAATCCCAACACTTTGGGAGGCTGAGGTGGGAGGATTGCTTGGGCCCAAGAGTTCCAGACCAGTCTGGGCAACATAGTGACACCCAGTCTCGCTTGAGCCTGGGATGTCAAGGCTACATTGAGCCATGACTGTACCGCTGCACTCCAGACTGGGTGACACACTGAGACCCTGTTTCAAAATATATATATATATATATATATATATATATATATATATATATATATATATATATATATATATATATATATATAAAGAAGCCCCTGCAATAATTTCACTCTGGCATAGCCACTCTTAGGATTTGTGTCCTTTGTGCTTTTGTTCATATATACAAAGGAGAAAATGGTCAGAATTAAATAAAAACACTAGATGTATTTTTCTCCATGCTAACCTCTGAAAATAGAGCTATAATTAGGTAGCCTTCTAAACTCTCAAACTGTGGCCTAGCAAGTTCGGGCCTTGTCCCTATATACCATGAAAAAGGACATACTGATTGTCAAGAGGTCATCCATTTTGGATTTTGTATAGTCACTCCTATGTTGTTGACTGCAGTTAATTTTTACTGGCCTTTTCTCATTTGCAGAGATCATACTGAAAGCTGTGTTTCCATTTTGTCTTCCTTCCTGTCCACTGAGCTATGAACTTACTCTAATCCATGGTCAATAAAATAGAAAATTCAATGTCATTTCCTTTAAAGATGTCATCACTTTACCTTAAGCCATTTGTCAACACACTTGGCATGGAACTCGTGGTTACAGGGTAAGACTCTAAGTAGCTGCCTTGACTCAAAATCACACATGCATACTACACACCTAAAAAAAGCAAAAAGATCATTTAACCACAAAACCAGATGGTTTTCTATTGTTATGACTACTGAAACCTACAAGATAATTTATTCTGTTATCAAAACGTCACTTAAATTTTTAAACAAAATTATCAACCAATACCCTGAAAAAATTGTGATGTTAAGGCAGTAAGAGTTTTGCTTTGCTGACAGATTAGCAAGAAAATTTCTAGTTAACATCAAGTCAATCTTAATACCAAAGATTCTATACTATTTAAAAAAAAATGGTATTAGAACTGGATGTCCACATACAAAAGAATAAAGGTGGACCCCTACCTCATACCATATATAAAAACTGACTCAAATGGATCAAAAGCTTAAGTGTTAAGAGCTGATCTATTAACCTCTTAGAAGAAAACACAGTAAATTTTCATGACCTTGGATTAGACAATGGTTTCTTGGAGATGACATTAAAAGCACAAGAATTAACAAGAAAAAAAGAAATGCAGTTGTTCTTCAGTATTTGAGGGGGATTGATTTCTAGGACCTGCAATGGATACTAAAATCTGCAGATGTTCAAATCCTTTATATACAATGGTATAGTATTTGTGACCTATGCACACCCTCCCATATGCTTTAAAATCATCACTATAATACTTAATACAATGTAAGTGCTATGTAAATAGTTGTTATACTGTATTGTTCTTTATTTGTACTATGTATTGCTCTATTGTTATTTTCTATTTTTATTTTTTCCTGAATATTTTCAATCTTTGGTTGGTTGAATACAGAGGGCTTAGTGTAGGCTGAAATAAACCAAAATCAAAATTTAAACATTTTGTGCTTCAAAGGACATCACTGAAAAACTCAACAATCCACAGAATGGCAAAACATTTTTTTTACACTTTTTATTATTCTATTCCTCAGAGATCCCTGTTCTGAGAGAAGACATTTTTGAAGATAATTTATCTGGTGAGATCTATAATATGTATAAAACCTCTACAACTCAATAATACAAAGACAAACCAATTTATGGAAAATGAAGCAAGGATCAGAATAGACATTTCTGGAAAGAAGGTACACAAATGGCTAGTAGCACATGAAAACACACTCAAGATCATTAGCCATCAGGGAAATGCAAATCAAATCTGCAGGAAATACCACTTCACAATCACTAGACTGGCTATAATAAAAAAAAATAGACAATATAGAGTGATTCAAAGCCATTATTTAGCTTTGGCATTATTCAATCCCAAAGTGGAAACCCAAATGTCCATCCATCGACGAAAAAAAAATATGATCTATACAATGGAATATTATTTGGCCATAAAAAGAAATGACTTACCAGTAAAAGCTACAATATAGAAAAAGTTATGCTAAGTGAAAGATGCTAGACACAAAAAGACCCTATATTGTATGACCCCATTTATGTGTAATCTATATAGACACAGTGTAGACTGGGGATGGGGAGGAGGCACCAAGGTGAGGTAGAAATATGACGAGTGTTGCCAGTGGGTGAGGGGTTTTGTTTTAGGGTGATGCAATGGGTCTAAATTTGATTGTGGTGATAGTTACACAGCTCTATGAATATACAAAAAACCACTGAATTGTACTTTTTAAATTATTATTATTTTTGAGATGGAGTCTTGCTCTGTCACCCAGGCTGGAGTGCAGTGGTGTGATCTCGGCTCACTGCAACCTCCACCTCCTGGGCTCAAGCAATTCTCCCTGCCTCAGCCTTTCGAGTAGCTGGGATTACAGGTGCCTGCCACCATGTCCAGCTAATTTTTGTATTTTTAGTAGAGACAGGGTTTTGCCATGTTGGCCAGGCTGGTCTCAAGCTCCTGACCATAGGTGATCCACTCGCCTCAGCCTCCCAGAGTGCTGGGATTACATGTGTGAGCCACTGCGCCCGGCCTGAATTGTACATTTTAAATGAGTGGAATTTTATGGTATGTAAATTATATATCAATAAAGCTATTTTTAAAAGATCCCATATTAAGCAGAAATTTTAGGTAAGAACCTCAAAACTTTATGTGCATGAATTTTCAATCTTGTGTGAAAACAAACATTCTAGAATGTGAATTAGAAACAAAATTGCTAAGCAACATAAAAATCCAGAACAGCCCTAACAGAACTTTCTAAGATGACAGAAATGTTCTACATCCATACCACCCAACACAGCAGCTATTAGCTAGTACGACTAAGACATTTAATTTTTAATTTAATTAGCTCTACATTGACTTACTGGACAAGCACTGGTTTAGACTATGAAATAAAGATAACTTATCTTTATCAAAGTTATCTCTGACTCCTAAGCATTTTCTTTCAATTTTTTATTTCCTCTCCCAACTTTTACCTTAATGACTCTTAAGCTTTTATTTCATAAAGGTAGAAAAGGAAATTTAGCAGTGATGTCAGAAAAATTTACTTACAAAGTCTGTTCTGACTGGTGGTTGTTAGGATTGAACCGATAAGAAGGAAGTTGTTCAATATCTGCTTTAGTCAGTCCACGAGGCTTTGCCTCTCCCAGTCGCTCTGCCAGGTTTAACAGGGCCTGCAGCGGTAAAAGACGACATATTTTCATCTATCTTTACATTTTGCATTCCAATACTTTTTTTTTTTAAGAGATGGAGTCCTGCTATGTTGCCCAGGCTAGAGTATAGCGGCTGTTCACAGGCATGATCATTGTGCACTGTGGCCTCGAACTCCTGACCTCATGCAATACTCTTGCCTCAGCCTTCTGAGTATCTGGAGCTACAATTGCGTACCACTGCAGCCCTATTAAAATAATTTTTTAAATGTTTCTTATGAAAAAATCTAAACACATACAAAAGGAGAAAAGTAACATTAATGAACCTTGATCTATCCATTACGCAGGTCAATAGTCCATGGCTAATCTTTTACCTATTACAATCTATCCTAAACCTCACCTTATTTTAAAACAAAACTGAAAGATGGTATCATTTCATTTGTATCAAGTGCATCTGTAAAACAAAGTTAGTAACTTTGACCCTGTGAGCTGGATAATTCTTTGTTGTCGGGGCTGGCCTGGGGACTACAGGATGTTTTGCAGCATTCCTGGCCTCCCTCTACTCTCAGTGCCAGTTAACACCCCCTAGCTGTAACAACCAAAAATGTTTCCACACATTCCCAAATATCCCCTAGGGGACAAACTGTCCCCAGGTTGAGAATCGCTGCTCTAAAAAGATAGACTTTTTAGAATATAACCACAATGACATCATCACACCTAAAATATTAACACTAATTCTTTAACATCAAATGACCAATTAACGTTCAAATGTCTTTGTTTTCAATTCAAAACTTTAAAAAGTAGTTTGTTCAAATAAGGATCCAAACAAATCCGTAACTTACCATGGCCTAATATGTCTCAAGACTCTTTTTCACTCTTAAATTTGAAGAAACCAGGTTAATGAGCTGTAGAAATTCCCAGTTTGAAATCTGCTAAATGAACCTCCCATCCCTGACCCACTGGGTTTAACAAATCCCTTGCCCCCTTGTCCTATAAATAGGGAGATGTGAATACTTATACCATAAGACCCATCGTGTCCACTGGTTATGTTAGCAGCCAATGATGGAATACTGTCAAGATCCATTAATTCATTAAAAATGGCAAAACAGTAATATTCTTATTTTATCATTCTTCATTTATTAGAATACCTCATATTAAACAATACTCAGAATAATTTAGGTAGAATAGGATAAATGAGACCACCTAATTTCTTTTATGAAGTATCCACCATCAACTCATGAACTTTAACATATTTGATGTGTTTCAATACTGTAATTATTATGCCCTTTTTTTTGAGTCAGAGTCTTGCTTCATCCTCCAGGCTGAAGTGCAATGGCATGATCTTGGTTAACTGCAACCTCTGCCTCCCAGGTTCAGGCGATTCTCTTGCCTCCTCCTCCTGAGTAGCTGCCCAGCTAATTTTTTGTATTTTTTATTTTTTAGTAGAGACAGGGTTTTGCCACGTTGACCAGGCTGGGCTTAAACTCCTGACATCAAGTGATCCACCTGCCTTGGCCTCCCAAAGTGCTGGGACTACAGGAGTGAGCCACTATGCCCAGCCAATTATTATGCTTATTGATTTTACACCAGTACCTCCTTTCCTTAATGACTCTAATAACTCATTTGGTTTATCTCGCAATTAGTCTGCCTTTTGTGGACTGCTTTTCTCCATTTTTTCAGGTTGCCCAGGGTTAACAGAATGGGTAACAAATAATGACAGATGAGAGAAACAGAAATAAATTCCCCAAATGTCAACAGTTAATGTAATAACTGTGTGTTTTATTATGATACTACAACTTTGCTTCTGTGTCAACATTATTTAGATAATTGCGTCATCTAAATAATTTGTTCCCCTTTCACTAGCTCCCCAGCCCTTCTAAATGCTGGAATAGAAAGTAAATTGCCAGGCCACACATGGTGGCTCAAGCCTGTAATCCCAGCACTTTGGGAGGCTAAGGCAGGCAGATCACTTGAGGTCAGGCATTTGAGACCCACCTGGTCAACACGGTGAAACCCCGTCTCTACTAAAATTACAAAAAAATTAGACAGGCATGGTGGCGTGCACCTGTAATCTCAGCTACTTGGAAGACTAAGGGAGGAGAATCACTAGAACCCGGGAGGCAGAGGTTGCAGTGAGCCGAGACTGCACCATTGCACTCCAAGCCTGGGCGACAAAGGGAGACTCCATCTCGGGGGGGGGGGGGGGGGGGGGGGGGGGGGAAGTAAATTGCCAAATTGATGGTGATTACAATATATAAAATTTAGATAAAATTTATGATATCATTGATAATGATCTTTTATATCTCTTAGTACACAAAGGTCAACAAATACAATTTGTGACAGAATATGTTAAGTTCTTACAGTATAAAGACTACACAGGCATATTTCACTTTACTGCGCTTTGCTTTACTGCATGCCACAGATACGACCTTTTTAAAACAAAAACAAAAAATTGAAGGTGTGTGGCCACCCCATATTGAGCAAATCTATTAATTCAATTTTTCCAACAGTCATGTAGTCATTTCATATCCTGGTGTCACATTTTGGTAATTCTCACAGCATTTCAAACTTTTTCATATCTGCTATAATGATCTCTGATCTTTGACGTTACTATTGCACTTGTTTTGTGGTACCACAAACTGTACTTGTATAAGACAGAAAACTTAATTGATAAATGTTGGGTATTCTGACTACTCCACTGAACGACTGGCTATTCGCCCATCTCTCTCCGTCTCCTGCGGTATTCCTAGTCTCTGAGACACAACAATATTGAAGTTATGCCAATTAATAACCCCACAATGGCCTCTAATTGTTCAAGTGAAAGGAAGAGTCACATGTGTCTCACTTTAAAAACTAGAAATGATTAGGCCGGGCACAGTGGCTCATGCCTGTAATCCCAGCACTTTGGGAGGCTGAGCGGGTGGATCATGAGATCAGGAGATCGAGACCATCCTGGCTAACACGGTGAAACCCCGTCTCTACTAAAAATACAAAAAATGAGCCGGTCATGGTGGCGGGCGCCTGTAGTCCTACCTACTCGGGAGGCTGAGGCGGGAGAATGACGTGAACCCAGGAGGCGGAGCTTGCAGTGAGCCGAGATTGCGCCACGGCACTCCAGCCTGGGCAACAGAGTGAGATTCCGTCTCAAAAAAACAAAACAAAAACTAGAAATGATTAAGCTTAGTAAGAAAGGCATGTCAAAGCGGAGACAGGCCAAAATGTAGGCCTCTTGCACCAAACCAGTAACCATGTTCTAAAGGCAAAGGCAAAGTTCGAATAGAAAAAGTGCCATTCTCATTGGGCACAGTGGCTCATGACTGTAATCCCAACACTTGGACTAGCCTTGGATGGCAAAACCTTATCTCTGAAAGAAAAAAAAAAAAATCCACAAAAATTAGCCAAGTGTGGTGGCATGTATCTACTGTCCCAGCTACTTAGGAGGCTGAGGTGGGAGAATCGCTTGAGCCTGGGAGGTTGAGGCTGTACTGAGCGGAGTTCGTGGCAATACACTCCAGCCTGGGTGACAGAGTAAGACCCTGTCTCAAACAAAACAAACAAACAAACAAAAAGAAAACAGAAAAGTCACTCCAGTGAACGCACGAATAAGAAAGCAAAGCAGCCATATTGCTGATATGGAGAAAGTCTGAGTGATACAGATAGAAAATCCAACCAGCCACAACATTCTCTTTAGCCAAAACCTAATCCAGAACAAGGTCCTTTAATTCTATCAATGTTGAGAGAGGTGAGGAAGCTGCAGAAGAAAAGTTGGAAGCTAGCAAAGGCTGGTTCATCAAGTATAAGGAAAGAAGCCATCTTTATAACAACGAAGTGCAAGGTGATGCTGGAAATGCTGATACAGAAGCTGTAGCAAGTTACCCAGAAGCTCTATCTAAGATCATTGATGAAAGTGAATACACTAAACAATGGATTTTCAATGTAGACGGAACAGCCCTATATTGGAAGAGGATGCCATCTAAGATTTTCATAGCTAGAAAGAAAAGGCGGCAGTGCCTGGCTTCAAAGAACAGGCTGACTCTTTTTGGGGGGATAACACAGCTGGTGACTGTAGGCTGAAGCCAATAATCATCTGCCATTCTGTGGGCCCTTAAGAAATTATGCTAAATCTACACTGCCCAATAATAAAGCCTGGATGACAAAACGTCTGTTTACAGTATGGTTTATGGAACATTTTAAGACAACTTGAGACTTGTTCAAGAGAAAAAGATTCCTTTCAAAATATTACTGCTCAAGTGCTCTGATGAAGATGTACAAAGAGATGAATCTGGTTTTCCTGCCTGCTAACACAACATTCACTCTGCAGCCCATGGAATAAAGGATTCTCTTTTCTCTAGATTCTTGCCAATACTTACTGACTTTTTGAAAACAGCCATCCTAACAGGTATGAAGTGATATTTTATTGTGGTTTTGATTTACATTTCCCTGATTGCAATGTTGAGCACCTTTTCATATACCTGGTTGGACATTTTGTGTCTTCTTTGAGAAATGTCTATTCAGGTCCTCCACCCATTTTTTTTAAATTGGGTTATTCATTTTTTTTGCTACTGAGTTGTGTAAGTTCCTTGAATATTTTAAATATTAACCCCTTATCAGATGTTTTTCATATTTTCTCCCAACCTGTAGTCTGCCTTTCATTCTGCTGTTTCTTTCTTTTGCGGTACAGAAGCCTTTTAGTTCAATGTAGTCCTAGTTATTTATTTTAGCTTTTGTTGCCTATGCTTGTGGTGTGATGGCCAAAAAACCAATGCCATGGCCAATATCGAGGAGCTTTTCCCCTGTTTTCTTTCAGCACTTTTATCATTTCAGGTAGTAAGTTTAGGTCTTTAATCTATTTTGAGTTAACTTTCACGTATGGTGTAAAGGTCCAGTTTCATTCTTTTGCAGGTGGGTATCCAGTTTTCCCAACATTTCTTTTTTCTTTTTCAGACAGTCTTGCTCTGTCACTCAGCCCGGAGTACAATGGTGTGATCTTGGCTCACTGCAGCCTCCCCCTCCCGAGTAGCTGGGATTACAGGCACCCGCCACCACGCCTCGCTAATTTTAGTATTTTTATAGAAACGGGGTTTCACCATGTTGGCCAGGCTGGCCTCGAACTCCTGACCTCAGGTGATTTACCCGCCTTGGCCTCCCAAAATGCTGGGATTACAGGGTGAGCCACTGCGCTCAGCCTCCCAACACCATTTCTTAAAGAGGCTATCCTTCCCCCATTGTGTTTTCTTGGGTGCCTTGTCAAAAACTGGTTGACTGTTGTGTTCCTTTCTATTCGCAGTTCCTAAGGTTCAGAACATGCATGGTCTTATAATTTATTGCCTTACCTATTACAACATCTAAATGGGTTTCCTTGTCACCATTTTCTAACCACTCCCATCGATTACTTCACAGTAGTGGCAGAGTTTGGACTCTTCACAAGTACTGATGCCATAAAGCACCAAAAACATTTAGTGGCTCCTTCCTCCTCCACAATATTCAAAATCATGTCCACTCTGTAGCAAGCACTGAAGGACAACCAATTGAGCTTTTCAATCAACTGCCGATTTTCTCCCTTTTATGTTAACCACAGACCATCTGTTGATTCTCAAGAATGTCTAGCCCTTCTCTGCCTAAATCTTAAAGATGAAAAGCTTATACATTATTTAAGATCTAGCTCAAACATTTTGGCTTCCACAAAATCTTTTCAGCATGCCTAATCAAAATTCACTGTTTTCTCATTTGCATTCTCATTGGAATTGTACGTAATTCTAATAGAGCACCAATCTACCTACCTGTTATCATAGCTATGTGGTATTACATATTCAAATATCCTTAAACATGTTAAAACATTTTTATGACATGTTTGTATCTTGAAATCCACAAAGTGTTTACCTAATACATGTTTAGATCAAGCTTGTTGAACACATGGCTTGCATGTGACCCAGGATGGCTCTGAATGTGGCCCAACACAAATTCATAAACTTTCACAAAATGAGATGTATTTTTTGCAAATTTTTAAAAGGTTATTGGCTACTATTAGTATTAGTGTATCTTATGTGTGGCCCAACACAGTAATTCTTCTTCCAATGTGGCCCAGGAAGCCAAAAGATTGGACACCTGTGGTTTAAAGAGTTAAGTAGAATAATACTTTCATGCACACAATATTCCCCAAATTAATTCACAATTCATCTACTAACCTCGTAATTTTCTACTTCTCCATCTTCTACATCTAATTCAAAGCTGAAAGTTGGGCCCACTGCAGGTGGCACTGGAAGCATTGATCTGCAGTGAAAACAATCACACTAGCATTGATATGTTAGTACATTAAATCAATGAACAGGACAGGGAGGACAGAGGCCAGTGCTATAAGGATGAAGAATGGTTAGTGTTAATCTGACAAATTTAACAAAACATATGCAAGAACTGTACAATAAAAACTGCAAATAGATTGCTAGGATAACTTAAAGGTGAATAAACAGAAATATACCACATAAGAAGATTAGAAGACTCAATATCATTCAGATGTCACTTTCTCCTTAAAATAATCTATAAATTCCATGCAATACCTACCAAGATTGCAGCAAGCACTTAAGTAAAAACTCACATGCTGATTTAAAAATTTATAAGGAAATGCAAAAGACCTTAAACTGAAACATTTTAAGACCAAATTGGGAGACATACTATATCTGACATTAAGATAGAAAGATAAATAGAGAAAACGGGGAGAGAGAGGAAGGAAGGAAGGAAAAACTATGACCACAGTGTGGTAACGTAAGCACGTGGCCTTCTGGTATAAAAACTGTATTTCCTAGCATTCCCAGAAAGTAATTATAGACATGTGACTAAGTTCTGGCCAATGTGATACAGAGGCAGGGGTTATACGTGCCACTTCTGGGACATATCCTTGAGAGGAGCAGGTAGGCAGAGGAATCTATTTTTATTTTTGCTAGGTGGAATGTCATATGACTAGAGCCTGAGAGGCCACCTTAGATCTTATACAGGAAGCCATTAACATTGTTCATAGTCACAGGGCTAACGAAATCATCGTTGAGCTGCCTACTTCTAGACTTTATTATGTGAGACAGAAATAAATAATTACTGGCAGGGCGCAGTGGCTCACACCTGTAATCCCAGCACTTTGGGAGGGTAAGATGGGCGGATCACCTGAGGTCAGGAGTTCGTGAGCAGCCTGGCCAACATGGCGAAACCCTGTTTCTACTAAAAGTACAAAAATTAGCTGGGCATGGTGGTCCATGCCTGTAATCCCAGCTACTTGGGAGGCCGAGGCAGGAAAATCGCTGGAACCTGGGAGGCAGAGCTTGCAGTGAGCCGAGCCGAGGTGGTGCCACTGCACTCCAGCACAGACTTAAGAGCGAGACTCCATCTCAAATTAAAAAAAAAAAACAACAAACCTACCCATGGGAATTTCTGTTACAGACCAACTTAATCCAAATAGAGTAGTTCTAAGACATAGAAATAAATAAATTTTTCTCCTTTCTCCCTAAGAAAAACAGCACTAAAAGCTGAATAATCAAGACTGGTGGTAAGTGTTATCAGTTGTAAAAGAGGCAGAAAATCTTAACCTTTTCTGCTTCTTGATCTGTTAAACCTATTTTTTGGCTCACAGATTTCTTCCTTCCCCATTTCTCCTATGTTACTGTTCTTTCTTTCAGCCTTAACTGGCTCCTCCCACCCCACCCTTTAACATTAAGTAAAGACAAATAACTAACACACCAAAAGCTATAGACACAAAGACATTCACAAAGGAAAGAGAATCTCAAGAGTTTCAAAATTCAGAAATCATTAAGATAAGAAAGAACTTACAACACATATGGCAGTAAGCTGGGATGATAAGGGGGAGGTGGTATTGGCTGCTGGGATCGGTATCTACTACGTCCTGTAAGCCTCCGAGGCATAAATGGAGGATAAGGCTGCAAGGGGAAAAATGTTAAGATTTAGAATCACTCTACGTTTACAAATAGCCTGTCAAATAAAGTATCTAATTAAAAAAAGACTTAAACAGTAAAGTTCTTTATTGTTCAAAGTTTTAATATTCCTTAAATACTAACTTATTAATGGATGCAGCAACCATTTTAAACCATACACTCAGGTGTATTTCTAAATATAACTTTCCAACTGAATGCTGTCGAGAATACATATAATTCTAAATATGGTGAATTATACTAAAACATAACTCAGAACAAGTAAGTTGCCAAAGCAAGTAATTAACATAGTACTCTGTGAAAACTTACTACTCCAAAGGACACCTCCTGATGCAAAGGATCATGTGTTAAGAACTGCAAGGGAGCTGATGGAGGTAATGTTGGGGGGTGGGCTGATGGAGGGTAAGTAAAACCTCCTACTGGAAGATGTTCTCCTAAGAGTTCCACTTCATTTTCTATCCTTTGCAGAGGCTGAGGAGGGGGAAAAAAAAACACATATATGTATATATATATATACTTCCTGTGTTTAGATAGATTATGCTTTATAATAATCACAAATTTAAAATCCCAAAATGTCTTTAAGGCCATGCATCTCTTGATATTCACATGAATCTAAAATTCATACAAGTAAACATATAGGCTACAGTAAAATCTTCCTAACTTTGATTTCAACAAGGTTTAAAACATGTTATCAAACATTTCCATTACCCTCTATTTATTTTACTATTTGAACCTTCTCTTAAAATGAGAAGGCAAAAAGTCATCGAATAAGCCAATTATAGCAAAATTAAAATTACTTTTTCAGTCATAGCACCCTGACCTAAAGGATTTTCAGACATTTAACCTTTCACAGATGAAACAAAACAGGATGTGCATTTATAAATCAGAAACAGGGCTAAATGAGATATGGTACAGAGGCATTATGCTGTGCAGAAAGATTATGGGCTTCTGGACATTAGAATCTTGGTACTGTCACCAATCAGCCATGTTAACTTTCAGATAAATTACTTAATCTGAACCTCAGTATTGTCATCTATAAAACCGGCATGCTCAGAGCCTACTTCAAAAGTGTGTAGTTAACACTGGGAAACAAGAGGGAGGCTCTGTCTCAAACAAAAACAAAAACAAAAGCCACAAGAAAACAAAGAACAGTTCATTGAGATATAACTGACATATGATAAAAGGAATTCAACTGAATGGATTTTTGGTATATTAACAGTTATGTAACCATCACCACTATCTAGTTCCAGAACATTTTCATCAGCCCAAAAAGAAACTGTATACCCATTATCAGTCAATCCCCATTTCCCCAAGCCATCAGCTTTCCATTATTTATTTATTTATTTTTTGAGACAGAGTCTTGCTCTTCTTGCCCAGGCTGGAGTGCAGTGGCGCCATCTTGGCTCACTGCAACCTCTGCCTCCTGGGTTCAAGCAATTCTCCTGCCTCAGCCTCCTGAGTAGCTGGGGCTAGGGCGCCCGCCACCACACCTGGCTACTTTTTTGTATTTTTAGTAGACTTTAGTAGAGACAGGGTTTCACCGTGTTAGCCAGGATGGTCTCGATCTCCTGACTTTGTAATCCACCGCGCACGGCCCAGCTTTCCATTTTTATGTATTTACTTATTCTACACGTTTCATGTAAATGGAACCAGTTCATTTAAATAAGCAAGAAGCTATGTCTACCTTCTCTGCTTAACATAATGCTTTCAAGGCTCATCTGTTTCGCAGACTTTATCAATGCTTCACTCCTTTTTATGAGTGAGTATTACATTGCATGGATATACCACTCTTTCGTCACCCATTTATCAGTTGACAGACATTTGGATTGTCCACTCTTTGACTATTAGGAATAGTGCTATTACTACATTTGTGTACACATTTTCATGCTGATGTTTTCAACTGAATTCTCTTAGGCACATTTATTTTTAAATGCTAGTCTGACTTCTTCCCTTAGTTACAGAATAGCAACATGTTATTCAAATATAAGTAAATACTAAGCTTTAATTTGGAAGCCTATGCATGCTTGAGAGAAATCACAATTGCTTACACTATGACAACACTAGTGAAAACAAAGTCTTGATATGGCTATGTGACTGGACCTTTAAAAGAATTCCAAATTTAGATACAAGTGATAGCTAAATTTTGCTTTAGCCTTGAATTCCCAGATACTGGAAGCTGAGAAGGAGAACATCCTGGCACAAATCCTATCCTATTTCCAAGAAAAGATTGTCTTGCAGAAGCAATTCTACCTCTTCTGATGAGCCAAACTTGCGTCATAATTGCTTCTACAGTTTTCAGGACAGCAGCCTCTTTGGTACCCAGCATGGTATAGAAATCCTTAGTAAACAATGGTAAGACTGCTACAATAAACTGTCAAGTTCTTTCCACAGAGCTGAAATCTTCCACTTTAGCCACTTCTATAGGTTATCTCTCCTGTTTCTCCTTAATGTCTGATGGTCTTGATGCTGAACCTGGCCTATCAAAACAACTGGACCTTTTTTCCTGTGCCCTTCTTTGTACTTATATAGTACTTATATCTCCCAGTGTCCCAAAATAATAGGCCTCTCAACTATATCCCAGTCCCAAGACAGAATTAACTATGTTAACAGACTACCTCATCTGCTTTTCATCACAACATAGTGAAAAACCAGGCCTTCAGAAAAAGTAACTCAAGTTCAGAAAGGTTAATTTCCTTGCCTAAATGAATACAAATATTATTCTAACAAGTATTAATAATTTTATAATATTTTCATTTTCCAATTTAGAACCACATAAAAAGAAAAAAACAATACAACTAAAAACTTTTCTTCAGATTTACTTCCTGAAGGACTGCAGATGTAATAGAACACAAATTTAGACAAGTGACATTAAAATAACTAGAAAAATTTAAGAAACCAGAAATTTAAGGTAAACGTTTATACTAATTTGTATATGTTTGGATTCCTTTAATTCAAGAACCAGAAGAATGCCTAAGTTATTACGTTTGTTTGTTTGTTTATTTTGGAGACAGAGTCTCACTCTGTCGCCCAGGCTGGAGTGCAGTGGCATGATCTTGGCTCGCTGCAACCTCTGCCTCCTGGATTCAAGCGATTCTCATGTCTCATCCTCCTGAGTAGCTGGAATTACAGGCACGTGCCACAATGCCCGGCTAATTTTTGTACTTTTAGTAGAGACAGGGTTTCACCATGTTGGCCAGGCTGGTCTTGAACTCCAGACCCTAGGTGATCTGCCTGCCTCGACCTCCCAGGGTGCTGGGATTACAGGAGTGAGTCACTGCACCTGGCCAAGTTACTATGTTTAAGCATGCCATTTAAACATAGTAACTTAGGCATTCGTCTGGTTCTTAAATCCACTAAGGTTATATACCTGGCCTAAACATTCTGAAAAAATTAAAAATTAGTTAAAAACTAAACATTCTGACATAATAGTAGAGATACCTACCGATCGTGATTGCTGTGTTTGGAAAGGGACAAACTGGCCTGGTGGTGGCAAATGAGGAGGATGATGGGGAGAAAGGTGAGGAGGATGTATAAGAAATGGATCACTAGAAATAAGGGGTGGGAATGCAGCATATGGTACTGGTAAGTGCTGAACTGAACATGCCTGAAGCATCTGTAAGAGAAACCATTACAGTTTGGTTAAAAATATCAGAATATATGATTAATTTAAAAGGATAGTGAGATTAAAATCTGTCATTGTCACACCTCTCCCAAAATCATGAAAATGTTTTTAATAGCTTATATTAACAATGAAATACCAGTGTATTTTTTAATCTACTAGTAAAGTAATGGTACTAATAACTATTCTGTATTTTATATAATTTTTATAAATTGGTTGAAATCCTTGAGCCTTTTAACCATCTATGAAAAAGGGTTGGGGCGGGTGTGGGGGGGGCGGGGGGGAAGTGCTGCAAAGAAGAGGAAACTCTCTCTAGTTGGTTTAAGATGTAGCAAACACTACCGGTATTTCAAGAAACTCCCCTTTTCAATCCTGTAGAAATCTTTTTCTTCCTAGGATTTTCATAAGAGCACAACTCTCAACTAATTGCCTTATAATCTCTCAGTATTTTAGTTCCCAAATTTGGTACAATGTTTCTATTACTGAGAAACTAAGCCTGAGTAAATTAATCTGTTAAGTTAGTATTGGTATAAGTGTGCACTTGCTTTAATCTCACATTCAGAGCAACGTATTAAGAGTTACATTTAAATTTTGCTGTGATTTCCTTTGAAGACATTGTTGACCTTAGATACATCATTTAAATACAGCGCCCTCATTTCTGAAAGGAGGCTGAACTGAGATTAAAGATTAAAGGACAAAGCATAAGCTTCAGAGGCAAGAAAAAAAAAGTTAGTGTGAATCTCTACTCTCCTATACTAGCTGTCTCTACGGCACTGAGCAAGTCATATTTAACTTTTCAGATTCAGACACTAGAAAATGGGGGATGATGCTACTTTCATCATAGGTTTCCTATAGTAAGGAATAAGACAAAGCACTCAAAGTGCCCATTAAAACTCAGTAAGTGCTGAGACTCTTAAGTGTTGAACAATAAGGTCTCTGAGACTTAGGCTGACCTTCATTGGCTTTAATTATAAACGGTGTTGACATATGAGAAAACATGGTTTGACCCTCAGGATATCCAAATATATGTATAAGTTAATTAATGTAAAAATATATCCGGTTATAAAGCTAATTTTCTTAAATGGTTACTATAAGGATATTATTGAGATTTTTATTGCAATAAAATTGGCCTTTTTACTTGAAAGTGAAACTACAAAGACAGTCTCTTAAATTTTGTTTGCTTATATAATGCAGTTAGCCCCTCTAAAGAGGGTAAGAGTCGGGAAGTTACAAAACCAAATTCAGGCTGGTGTGCTTAATAGTAATATCTAATGAGAACAAAGATAGAGACTTACTGGAGGAGGCACACTACAGACAGGGAGGTGCTGTCCACTGAAAACCACAGAGCATCCTGGGACCTGCTGTGTACTACAAGCAGGGATGTGCTGGCCTGTGCAGAGTGGAATCCCATGTGGTGCCACTGTTGTTACTGTGTAAGAAACAGGGACTGTTCCTTGATGGAGCTTTAAAGGAAAAAACAAATGAACAAACTTTAGCTGTTTAGATAAAATGTTAACTATTCAAAATCAACATTTGGTCATTTATTGGCTCCTCTCTCAGCTACACGGATTTTCACAATGTACTCTCCAATAGTTTCGACCAGAATATTCATTGTCTTTGTAGGGGAGAGTTGACTATTTCAAGAGTATATACTATTTCCACAAAATTGGGGCTAAACTCCTCCCTCAAATGACTTGAAAAGCCCAGGGAAATAATGGATTACTATATTAACTCTTCTAGCCTGTCCTATAAAGGCAGAATAAAAAGAACTGGAATCATTAAAGCTTGTATCTTCCATTATTTGGTCACATTCAAAACAAATTTTAATTACAACTAGTGAAACAATGTAAAGTATATTTTTAAAAAAATGAAATCTCATTTCCCGCCTAGCCAATCTTATTCCCATCCTACCTGCCACCCAGAGGCAAACGATGCTGATAACATATCCTTCTTCTCTTTCTCCATGAACATATGAAAGCACAATTACATATAAAATGTCACATTTATTTTTGTTTTCTTAACAGAAATGAGATCATACTACCCTGCAACTTTGTTTTTCCATTTAATACTACATTGCAGGTATGTATGCAAGGGAGTTAAAAGTAACTTGTTCTCTTTGGTACTAGCCAGATATTTTAAGAAACACTTGCTTAACACAGTCCTATCATATGGTGTATCAACACATGTTCAAATTGTTTTCAACTCTTTTGCCAATATAAACACAACTGAAAAAATATGATATTAGTTTGGCCAGGCACGGTGGCTCATGCCTGTAATTCCAACACTTTGGGAGGCCGAGGTGGGCAGATCGCTGGAGGTCAGGAGGATGAGGCCAGCCTGGCCAACATGGTGAAAACCCGTCTCTACTAAAAATACAAAAAATTAGCTGGGAGTGGTGGCGGGTGCCTGTAATCCCAGCTACTTGGGAGGCTGAGGCAGGAGAATCACTTGAACCTGGGAGGTGGAAGTTGCAGTGAGCTGAGATCGCGCCATTGCACTCCAGCCTGGGCGACAAGAAAACTAATTTTTTTTTCAATCCTGTCTTATGGGGCTGAAGGAAGACTTAATTTCATCTGAGGCCAAGGCGGAAGCTTTGGCCTCCCAAAGTGCTGGGATTACAGGTGTGAGCCGCTGCACCTGGCCCCATCGATCCTCTAGGTTGTCATAATCATTTGTAATTTTTTTATTTAAGAGGTATATGAATCTATTGCTTGTTGTGTGTAATGAAAATATTTTCCTAGTCTATGTTTTATCTTTTGATGAGATCCTTTATTTAATGGCATATTTTTGTCTTTTGTGATTTTTTTTTTTAAATGTAGCCAGAGTGTAGCTTTGGGGTTTCCTTTACTGATGAGGTTATAAACATATATTCCTGTATTTCCTAATTCTTTAGTTTTTCGTATTCCAAAAGACTTATTTTTGTTTATAAAGTAGGGCTCTAATTTTGCTTGCACATGGACAATTATACTTGCTCCATTTATTAAACCATCTTCTTGCCTCTACAGTGAAATACCATCTTTTTAAAAATTCATTAAGTACGCACACATTCCTGGATTTCATGCTGCTTTAACTACAGTATCTTACTGGAAGAGTTAGCATCTGGTAAGAAATTCTTCTCACCATACATCTTTTCATTTTTTGGCATTGTCACACAGTTATTCTTACGTATAAAATCAATTTTATTCACTTCCAAAACCCATTAGTATTAAGATTGTACTAAATATGTTATTTTACAAAGGACTGAATTTTATATTAAGATTTTTTTTTTTTTTGAGATGGAGTTTCGCCCAGGCTCCAGCCTTGTCGCCCAGGCTGGAGTGCAATGGCACAATCTTGGCTCACTGCAACCACCACCTCCTGGTTTCAAGCAATTCTCCTACCTTAGCCCCGCCCCGAGTAGCTGGGACTACAGGCGTGTGCCACTACACCTGGCTTTTTTTTTTAAATTAGAGACAGGGTTTCACCATTTTGGCCAGTCTGGTCTTGAACTCCTGAACTCAGATGATCTGCCTGCCTCAGCCTCCCAAAGTGTTAGGATTATAGGCGTGAGCCACCGTGCCTGACCTATATTAAGACTTTTTATACCCAGAAACATTATGCCATTACGTTGAATATCACGGTTCTGTCTTTCAAGAAGAAATTAAGTCTTCCTTCAACCCCATAAGACAGGATTGAAAAAAAAAATTAGTTTTCTTCAAAAAGATTATTAAATTTATTTCTCAAAGTTTATTATTAAATTTGTTCCTCAAACTGTGGTTCTGTTATAATGACAAGAGGTTATTTTACTCTATTTGCATGTCAAAGCGGTTAGTGTTAGTACGAAGATAATTTTTATCTATATTATCTTGAATATATCAACCTTACCAACTTTTAAATTCTGGTATTTTTAAAAAACTTAGAATCTCCTTTCCTAGGTATACAACTACAGGATGAGCATCCCTTATCTGAAATGCATGGGACCAGAAGCATTTTGGATTTTTTGGAATTTTAGAAAATCTGCATTATACTTACCAATTTGGCATCTCTAATCCCAAAATCTGAAATCCAAAATGCTTAAAATAAACATTTCCTTTGAGTGTTGAGTCGGTGCTCAAAAAGTTAGATTTTAGAGCATTTCAGATACTCAAATTAGGGGTGTCCAACCTGAATAAGGTTCAACCCAACTATCATCTTTTTGTGTTAGCAAACTAGAACCTTCAAAAATAATGTGTATAAGTACCTATATCCTATATCTGATTTTAATGGAAAAGTATGATGAATTTTACCAATAAAACTATTGATTTCTAATAAACAGCCTTTGTCACAAATACCACCCCCCTACCCCGACCAACTGCACACACATTTTTTTTGAGACAGAGTCTTGATATATTGCCAACAATGGAGTGCAGTGGTGCCATCACGGCTCACCATAGCCTCAATCTCCTGGGGCTCAGGTGATCCTCCCACCACAGCCTCCCAAGTAGCTGGGACTACAAGTGCATGCGACCACACCCAGTTAATTTTTGTATTATTATTTTTGTAGAGACAGGGTTTCACTGTGTTGTCCAGGCTGTTCTCCAACTTTTGAGCTCATGTGATCTGCCCACTTCAGCCTCCCAAAGTGCAGGGATTACAGGCATGAACCACCGCGCTTGGCCAAGTACCATATTTTGCTGAATCCAAGACATCAGATTGTATAGTCATTTTTTCCCCATACTAAGAAAAATACTTCTGTTTTACTGGAGTGCAGTGGCGTGATCTCGGCTCACTGCAACCTCTGCCTCCTGGGATCACACCACTCTCCTACCTCAGCCTCCCGAGTACCTGGGACTACAGGTGCCTGCCACCATGCCCAGCTAATTTTTTCTGTATTTTTTGTATTTTTTAGTAGAGACAGGGTTTCACCGTGTTAGCCAGGATGGTCTCGATCTCCTGACCTCGTGATCCGCCCGCCTCGGCCTCCCAAAGTGCTGGGATTATAGACGTGAGCCACCACGTCTGGCCAGATTGTATAGCCATTTTTTCCCCATACTAAGAAAAATACTTCTGTTTAACTAACATAACGCTTGGTCACTTATAAATTTTATATATTTATTAGAAGCACTTTAAATGAGATCATACAACACTTGAGCATTCAAAAAAGGAAAATATAAGTGAAATAAAGTAGTTAGTTCTGATAGTTCTTCACTTTCAGAGTCTGACTCTGGTGAATCACTTTTAATTTCAGTGTCATTGTCTGGTTTTCCCACAAAAGGTTCAGTGCCATCAAGGGAGTTGGTGATGCAGCGTTTCTTAAAACTATCCATAAAAGAAACAAAAGCTACTTGATGCTAGATTCTTAAGTCAGGGGTGTAATTATATAGAGCTTGTCTACTTTTGACTCCTGCTTGGAGGTTTATGTTAAACTCACCTCCTGCCACACCCCCTAAACACTACCACTTAATCCCTATGGGTTAACTGCAAGACATATGATGCACAGCACAAGCAATGAAGACTGTGTTACAACTACTGCTTGGCTGACACCAAGATTAAGATGCCATCAATTGCGAGAAGCATCCATCCCAAATTCAGAGATGTTAAAATATGGAAATAGTACATTTTAAAATCAATGAATAGGGCCGGGCACAGTGGCTCACGCTTGTAATCCCATCACTTTGGGAGGCTGAGGTGGGTGGATCGCCTGAGGTCAGGAGTTTGAGACCAGCCTGGTCAACACAGTGAAACCCCGTCTCTACTAAAAATACAAACAATTAGCTGGGCGTGGTGGTGGGCACCTATAATCCCAGCTACTCGGGAGGCTGAGGCAGGAGAATGGCTTGAATCCAGGAGGCGGAGGTTGCAGTGAGCCAAGATCGAGCCATTGCACTCCAGCCTAGGCAACAAGAGCAAAACTCCGTCTCGGGGGAGGGGGGAGAAGGAGTTTCATATTTCTTTTCAGAAACTTCATTGTAAAATACTTTGTAAAATACAATCAAAGTACCAAAGTACATAAAGCACGAACATCAAGACTACAAAAAAAAAAAAAAAATCATCAGATGAACACTCATGTAACCATCACGTAGGTCAATAAACAGAACATGGCCAAAATCCCCCAACGACCCCCTCCAAGGACCCTTTCCTGGTCAAAATGATCTCACAGCCACTCTTTGATCCCAGTTATCAAAGGAATCACTATCCTGATTTTTCTGGTAACCATTTTTTTTTTCTTTTGAGACAGAGTCTTGCTCTGTCACCAGGCAATCTTGGCTCACTGCAACCTCCACATCCTGGGTTCAAGCCATTCTCCGGCCTCAGCCTTCCGAGTAGCTGGGACTATAGGCGTGCATCACCACACCCAGCTAATTTTTGTATTTTTAGTACAGATGGGGTTTCACCATGTTGGCCAGGATGGTCTCGATCTCCTGACCTCGTGATCTGTCCGCCTCGGCCTCCCAAAGTGCTGGGATTACAAGCGTGAGGCACCACACCCGGCCCTAATCTGTTTTTCTTTATGGTTGAACCACTGAAGCTTGAACCCCAACCTAGTCTTTTGTTGGTTAAATACCTTTTCGCTGTCTTCACGGTGATTAATTGTTTCAGTCTATGAGACAGGGGTCTTGCTCTATCATCCATCCATCCATCCATCCATCCTTATCTACCTATGTATCTATCTATGAGATGGGGGTCTCACTCTGTCACCCAGGCTGAAGTACAATGGCACAATCACTTGGGCTCGAGGGATCCTCCAGCCTCCGCCTCCTAAGTAGATGGGACTACAGTGGAGCACCACAGTGAGAACTTTTGATGAATACAAACATTTCCAAAAAACAGACATAGAAAGCCACTATAAACAATCCTGTAGAAATTTTTTTGTGTGGACATATGCACTCAATTCTCTTGATTACACTAAGAATGGAATTGCTGGATTACTGGGTAGGTGTATGTTTGACATGATTAGAAACTGACCAACAGGTTTCCAAAAGATCATGCTACTTTTTACTTCCACTAGCAATAGAATTGTCAGTCTTTTTAATTTTGGCCCTCAAAATGTCATGTTTTCATTTGGTCACCCAACTGTCCCAGAACCACTTATTAGCAATTCTGTCTTGTTCCAACTCACCTACATTCATCAAGTCATATGCCATGTATATATACTCATGCGTGGCTTAACGATGGAGATACATTCTGAGAAATGTGTCATTAGGTGATTTCATTGTTGTACTAACATCATAGAGTGTACTTATACAAACCAAGATGGCAGAGAGCCTACTACACACCTAGGCTTATATGTTATAGCCTATTGCCCCTAGGCTACAAACCTGTATAGCATGTTGCTGTTGCTATACGAAACCCTGTAGGTAATTATAACACAAGGGAAGTACAGTTAGCCCTTGAACAACATGAGTTTGAACTGCATGGGTCTACTTATATGCAGATTTTTTTTTTTTTTTTTTTGGAGGTGCAATCTCGCTCACTGCCACCACCTCCTGGGTTCAAGCATTTCTCCTGCCTCAGACTCCCGAGTACCTGGGATAGGCACCCACCACCACGTCTGGCTAACTTTCGTGTTTTTAGTAGAGATGGGGTGTCACCATGTTGGCCAGGCTGGCTCGAACTCTTGACCTCAAGGGATCTGCCCACTTCAGCCTCCCAAAGTGCTAGGATTACAGGCATGAGCCACCGTGCCCTGCCCACATTTCAATAAAAGTTGCATAAAGTGTGCCTGCCTCTCCTCCACCAGAGACAGCAAAACCAACTCCTCCTCCTCTTCCTCAGCCTACCCCACATGAAAACCACAGGGATGAAGACCTTTATGATCAACTTAATGTATTTTATGATTTTTTTAATCACACTTTCTCTAGCTTACATTATAAGAATACAGTATATAATATACTAAATATGTATTAACTATGTTATTGGTCAACATTAGTCTATTAGTTTTTGAGGGAGTCAACCATTATATGTGTATTTTCAACAGTGTAGAGGGTTGGTACCTCTAACCCCTGTATTTGTGTATCTAAACACAAAAAAGATATAGTAAAAATATGGTATTATAAACTTACGAGACCACTGTTGTATATGTGGTCTGTTGGTCAAACGTTATTATGTAGCATATGACCATATTCACAGAAAATGTGTTGGCTTCTAGATTTTATATTCTATTTCATTAGCTTATTTGGCTATGCTGGCATAAATGTCTTTATTACCATAGTTTTATAATAATTCCTAGTAACTGGAGAAGCTACTTTGCCCACCTGTTCTTTCATGACTAGAACAGTGGTTCTCTAATTACAATGTGCATTAGAATCACCTGGAGGGCATGGTAAACTAGATTGCTGAGTCCCACACCCACAGATCCTGATTCAGTAAGTCTAGTGTACAGTCTGCGAATCTGCAGTTCTAACAAATATCTAGGTGATGCTGCTGCTGCTCAGCTGATTCAGCTAATACTCTTGAGAAATAATTGGTCTAGACCTTAAGACCAGGGTGTCAGTGGGCCAATTATTTCTTAAAGAGCTAGAAAGTGAATGTTTTAGGTTTGTGGGCCATGGTCTCTGCACAAAGTAACCAAAGACAATACAGATGAACAAATAGGTGTGGTTGTGTTCCAATAAAACTTTACAGAAACAACTATCAGTAGTTCACTTTCTATGGCTGTAGACAATTTCAGGTCTTTTAAATTGTCACTAAAAATGACAGAATCATCTTCTCAAGTTACACCAAAAATCTACTGAAAATTTATTTGGGATTATACTAATTCTATTATGTGCCGCTTTTAAGAACTAAGAGCCTTAAAAAAAACGGGATCTTTCGAGTCAAATCTCTCATTTAAATAAGTTTTCCTGTGGTCAGGCACAGTGGCTCACACCTGTAATCCCAGCACTTTGGGAGGCTGAGGCAGGCAGAACACCCTTGGCCAGGAGTTTGAGACTAGCCTGGCCAACATGGTGAAACCCCACCTCTACTAAAAATACAAAAAATCAGCCAGGCATGGTGGCAGGTGCCTGTAATCCCAGCTACTCAGGAGGCTGAGGCAGGAGAATCGCTTGAAATGGAAAGGTGGAAGCTGCAGTGAGCCAAGATCTCACCATTGCACTGCACTCCATCCTGGGCAAGAAGAGCGAAACTCTGTCTCAAAAAATAAATAAGTTTTCTTTAAACTCTCTCAATAATGCTTTGGTATTCTACACAGTGGTTTTAAACCACTTTTGTTAAGACTGATAGTTTTTTTTTTTTTTTTTTTTTGAGACGGAGCCTTGCTCTGTGGCCCAGACTGGAGTGCAGTGGTGCAATCTTGGCTCACTGCAACCTCCGCCTCCCGGGTTCAAGCAATTCTCCTGCCTCAGCCTCTCGAACAGCTGGGACTACAGGTGCGCGCCACCATGCCCAGCTAATTTTTGTATTTTTAGTAGAGACGGGGTTTCACCATATTGGCCAGGCTGGTCTCAAACTCCTGACCTTGTGATCCACCCGCCTTCGGCCTCCCAAAGTGCTGGGATTACAGGCACGAGCCACTGTGCCTGGCCAAGACTGATAGTTAACTTCTTTAGTATTACTATGATTTTTTCAGTGGTATTTTTTCTTTGAATTTTTATTACAGAGAATTTCAAATATGTTCAAAAACAGTAGCATAAACCCCCATATCCACCGCCCAGCCCTCAAACCATTAAACCATAGCCAATCCACCTGAATATACTGCTTTGTTTCATGTGTTTTGTTGAAGCAAATCCCAGGACCCTATCATTTAAAAAAAATTTTTAGTATGCATTTCTAAAAAATAAGAACACTTAATTAGCCACAACAGCATTATTATATTTTTAAAGGAAAGTTATTTAAAATCAAACATGCAGTCACGTTCAAAATTCCAATTATGTCATCAAATAAAAATAAATGATTTTATTAGACTTTTTTCCCTTTCCTCTCAAACAGAATCAAAAAAAAGCTTTACATATTGCAACTGATTAGTATGTCTGGGTTGTTCAGTGTTAATGTATCTTTTAAAAAGTTGTTCATGTTCTGTTTGATTCTGGTATTAAAAAAAATACTGATTATTGTATATTCATTTTTTGTAACATTTCAATCTGTTCAATTCTTAGTTCTAACAATTACCTAAGATGCTTCGGGATTTTCTATCAGTATAATCAGTTTGACTGCAAATATTGATGGTGTTACCTGTTCTTTTCCTATTCTTAAACTTTTTTCTTCTTGTCTTTTCTGCTGGCTTGGCCTACTGAATAGATGTGGTAATAGTCAGCATCCTGGTTTATTCCAGGTAGCAGGAAAGTGTTCAAAGTTTCACCTTTAAGCATGTTTGAAGTAGGTGAATTCACTGTAGGTCTGTTTCTATTGGTTTTCAATTATAGCCCTTTTTAAGTCATGTACCGAGTTAACTTTGTTTATTGCTCGCTGTTCTTGAAAAATTATTGGGGGAACTGAGAACCAAAATGAAGGTTCCTTCTTTCAGGGAGAAATTGCCCCTGCTTTCTAGGCCCCTGAGGTACCCATTACTTTAAATGAATTTTCACTAACTTCACAGAGTGATGTGAATTTGGGCTGCAAATTTACTTCTGCTCAGTCTTATCCTAGTGACCAGATATCCCTGTATTCTGGGTATACAGCGACTTAAAGTGTTTGGTATTTTACGCAGGAAGGGTCTCCTATATAGAAAGTGACTCCTTAAATAGTCCTTGATTTTTGTCCCCTTTGCCTCCTGACAGACTCAAAATTGAAGTCCAGGTTTGCTCAAATGAACAAATGCCTTAAGGACAGAACTAGCACCCCACTTTCCCTTAGTTTTGATTTCTTCTATTAGCTCTTTTGATGCTTTCAGGATACTTATTTTATCTAGCACGCTCGGTTGTCCTCAAGCAAAAGGAATGCTATCAATAAGCCTTCCTACCACGTATTGAAAATTAAAGTCCTTCCTTTTTACACTTTAAGACCTTCTAATAAGAAATGATGGCTAGATTTTATATTTCTTGCGCCTATTAATATTTTTCCTTTATATTGTTGATAAAACCAATTATCTTGAAAGATTTCCTAATACTGAACCCATGCAGGACGGGTTCAATATTATGTTATTCTTTTAATACATCACTAGGTATATTAAAATAGGTTATTCCAACAGGTTATTCTTTTTTCTTTTTTTTAATTAAAAAATTGTTCTCATACCTTCTTGCTGAAAACAGCTTATTCTTTTAATACACCACTAGCTATGGTTTATTATTTAAAACTTTTTCATCTGTATTCATGAGGGAAACTAGTCAACAGCTTTCTTTTGTTGTATTCATCTATGAAGTTTCATTGTTAAGGTTGTGTTAGTTTCATAAAATATATTTGGAAGCTATCTTTTTCTATGATCTAGAATAGTTTAAATTCGAATTACCAGTTCTTTAAAGGTTAGACAAGAAGTCAGATGTTTTTATTTTTTTGAGATGGAGTCTCGCTCTGTTGCCCAGGCTGGAGTGCAATGGCACGAGCTTGGCTCACTGCAACCTCCACCTCACAGGTTCAAGCGCTTCTCCTGCTTCAGCCTCCCTAGTAGCTGGGATTACAGGTGCCTGCCATCACGTGCGGCCAATTTTTTGTATTTTTAGTAGAGACGGGGTTTCACCATGTTGGCCAGGCTGGTCTCAAACTCCTGGGCCTCAGGTGATCCGCCTGCTTCAGACTCCCAAAGTGCTGGGATTACAGACGTGGGCCACTGCACCTGGCCTCAGGTGTAATTTTAATTTTAAAGACGGATTTTGTTATGCTTTTATAATTTCTGCCATGGCTACCGGTCTGCTCAGGATTTCTAATTCTTGTGTTGTTCTGGTTATTTACATATGTAATGTTTTCATATTCCAATATACAGACTCAACACGTAACACTACTACATAAATGAGACCTTGCCTTTTCTGAAATGCAGTCTTTTCTTTCTTTGGCTCCATCACTAACCACCACCCCTCCTTCACTTTAGCACTTACCCTACAAGCCTAGTATGTATTTCTCTGTATTTTTCTCTGTGTTCACATAGTCCTATATACATACACTCATATACATATTAATTATGCTTTACAAAATGGGACTTTGTAAACACTTTCCTCCATTTTGCTTTTCTTGCTCAAGGGGATGGGGAGAAGGTACAAAAATTGTGTTTTTCAGTATTTTATATCCATACTTTTATCAGGTTACGGCCACAAATAAGGTAAGCTTTCCTACATGATCAATTTTTAAGTGTTTCATGAACATAATAAAAATGTCTGGCATAAGAAGAGTATCTAGGTAAGATATTTTCTCAATTGTCACTATGTGTTATTGTTTATTATCTAGTGCAGTAGATGAAAATTGAGATCCTATTCTCATTAGCATTCTCTGGTAATTTTTTTTGGTTTATAAACTCACAAGATTTCCCCCTTATCCTTAAAATCCAGCAATTTTTATAAGGACATGCTTAGACACATGTCTTTTTTTTTTTGACCTCAGAAACTCCACAGAAAAGACCACCATAAAATTGTGGTCTTCATCCTCAGGCTCTGAAGATAGGCAACCTCTCTCCTCAGCTGGTCCCTCAGTTCTTGGCAGAAAGAAAAGGGAAATGAAACATTGTAGGCTTGTACCTGTCATCTCCTTGGAGGCCTATGAAAACCTATAAGCAAAGATGTACCCAACTGTCTTGCTTATTGAATTATTCCAGAAGAAACTAGGAAACAGGAATATGTACTCAAACCATCAGTTGTCTGCTATTTCCTACTAATCTTAAATCAATAATTTCAAATCAAGCATACATGAATTCATTCTAAGCTTTCATAACCTTGATCCTTTTTTTTAATTTTTTGAGACGAAGTCTCGTTCTGCCACCCAGTGCAGTGGTGCGATCTTGACTCACTGCAACCTCCACCTCCTGAGTTCAAGTGATTCTTCTGCATCAACTGGGATCATAAACATGTACCACCACATCCAGCTAATTTTCGTACTTTTAGTAGAGACGGGGTTTCACTGTGTTAGGCTTGTCTCGAATGCCTAAGCTCAAGTGATGTGCCTGCCTCAGCCTCCCAAAGTGCTGGGATTACAGGCATGAGCCACCGTGCTGGGCCGATACTAATTTTTTAAGTTCAACTTTCTTCTATGGAAGCTGTGTAGAATTTAAATCTCAATTCTTAAAAGGAATGAGGAACTTAAATAACTTCATTTTAGGTAAAAACTAAAAGAAATTTGCAACAAAAAGCCAAAAAAAAAAAATCTCAAACTGCCACAAAATTTCAGCTTCTGTATTTCCAAGACATTCTGTTATTGTACCTGATCATGTATGTCAACCATGACTGCATTCTGCTGGGGTGGATGAGCAGCAGGATGTAGCAGACGGGGAGATACATTCGGAGGGTGGAAGGCTCGAGGCTCCTCTATTGCTTGCTGCTGTGCGTAAGGGAGATGGTGATAGTTTTCATCTTGACTAATGGAATTATGTCGAGACAGACGATCCCTTCTTCCTCTCTGGCGCCTGACAGGAGGACTGTGATAAATATCAAAAAGAAAGTCATTATGCTTATTGTGATCCATCAGGATTCTGTATTGTCTTTCTTTGATATCTATCAATAGTATATGCTAAGGTAAGCTTCATTATTAAATAACTGCTAAAATTCCCCATCAGCTCTAAAAACTTACAAATTTAAATACAAGGTATATGTTTTATACAATAATGAAAGCAAACAGTATTGGTATTCATCTCTGAAAGTATTTAGAAATCAACAGCTACAATTTTTTCTTGAATCATATGAAATTGCCCTTTTTATAAGTGAAAAATAGTCTAATAGCAACAATTTCATATAATTTAACCTACCATTTTCTCCCTTTTTAAATATTATAATAAAACGAACTTTAATCTGTAGATACCTTGTCAGTGTTCCTCATATACCTAATAGGCACCTTTTTGTCTATTTAGCTAACACATACATAAGACATAGTTCCTATGTGGCCAAAATGACACTTTTAAAAAATGAGAAAACATGAAATAACCAAAGAACATATAATTTGCTGACAACCGCAAATAGAAACTGGGTAAACACGCGATGAATATGATTGAGAATATGATAGTATCAACATAAATATTCCAAGAATATATAAAATTTTTAACTTTTAATTTTTATGGGTGCACACAAGGTATATATACTTACATAGAATTTTAAATTAGAATTTGCTTGTTGGGCCAGGTGCAGTGGCTCATGCCTGTAATCCTAGCACTTTGGGAAGCTGAGGCAGGTGGATCCCTTGAGCCCAGGAGTTCGAGACCAGACTGGGAAACATGGTGAAACCCTGTTTCTACCCCAAAATACAAAAAATTAGCCGGGCGTGGTGGTGTGCACCTATAGTCCCAGCTACCTGGGAGGCTGAAGTGGGAGAATCACCTAAAGCCTGGAAGGCCGAGGCTGTAGTGAGCTGAGATCACGCCACTGCACTCCAGCCTGGGCGACAGAGTGAGACCATGTCTTAAAAAAAAAAGAGAGGGAGAGAATTTGCTTATTGAAGCAACCCACATTTACTCTCCATGTACTAGTCATCGACATAGTTTAATAAAAATTTTATTGTGACTAAACTTTCATTTTGTTCTTCTCTGAAACTGCTTTTTACAATGGCTCAGCACAAAAGCAACTTGAAAAAGTACTCTGCCTCATTAAAACTGTACTCTACATTGGGCAAAGGAGGTCAAACATCTCCCTTCTAGGAAGAACTCCAAGTGTCATTTTAGCAACTTTCTTTATGGTCACTTTTTCCTTAATCTTCCCACTCTGTTCCTCTAAATCTGTTTCTTCTTACTCCTAATTCTCCAATCTTAAGAGAACAAGGGACATTCCTTTATGAGATCAACTCGCAAAGGTGCTCTTGATATTGTCCCTCCAGCTTCTTGCTCCATTAATTGTTTCTTCTAACTTTATTTTTAATACAATCCTTTTTGCATTTTTGCTTCAAACTCTACTTACTGTATTATATTGAATTCAAGACGCCCTCCACCTTAGGACTAAAAGCTTTTTTTTTTTTTTTTTTGAGACGGTGTTTCACTCTTGTCACCCAGGCTGGAGTGCAATGGCACGATCTCTCGGCTCACTGCGACCTCTGCCTCCCAGGTTCAAACGATTCTCCTGCCTCAACCTCCCAAGTAGCTGGGATTACAGATGTCCACCACCAAGCCCAGTTAATTTTTTTTTTGTATTTTTAGTAAAAACAGAGTTTCACCATGTTGGCCAAGCTGGTCTCGAACTCCTGACCTCAGGTGATCTGCCTGCCTCAGCCTCCCAGAGTACTGGGATTATAGGTGGGAGCCACTGCACCTGGCCTACATTATTTCTTTTAAATTTTTCTCGTATTGCCTTCTTCTGGAAATATTAGACATTTAGAACTTATGACTCTGTGTTCATACTTAAATTTACTTTTCCACATTTTTTATTTTGCCCCGTTACACTACATTCTGGGAAATTTCCTCCACTTGATCTTCCAGAATGAACTCACTTTTTCTTTTCTTTTTTTTTTTTTTGAGACAGAGTCTCGCCCTGTCTGCCAGGCTGGAGTGCAGTGGCCCGATCTCGGCTCACTACAACCTCTGCCTCCTGGGTTCAAGCGATTCTCCTGCCTCAGCCTCCCGAGTAGCTGGGACTACAGGCGTCTGCCACCTTGCCTGGCTGATTTTTGTATTTTTAGTAGAAACAGGGTTTCACCATATTGGCCAGGCTGGTCTTGAACTCCCGACCTTGTGATCCGCCCACCTCAGCCTCCCAAAGTGCTGGGATTACAGGCGTGAGCCACCGCGCCCAGCTGAATGAACTCACTTTTTCTATTTATTAAGTTTTACCAGCTAACATTTCTAGTTGATTTTCATGAGTACAATATCCCTCATCCCTCTCCCTCTTACATCTCACATGTACTCTAAAATTCGATCTTGCTTGTTCTATTGTTTCTTGAAGTTTATTGTTAATTGAGTTTAATGGCCCTGTTTATTCACAGTTCTTTGTTTTATTGCATTTATTAATAGTATCCCTCTTTCACTTCATTCGTTTTTTTCAAATACCTAGCTTTGTGCTCACCTCTGTAACTGAAATCCTGCTAGATTATTGTTAAAAACTGCATCTGCTTGGCACAGCCTGTTTCTGGGAGAAAATCTGGCAATATGCTTATAGGTAACCTATATTAAGTAGTAAACAAGAACAGAATACAGAGTAAGACACACTGCTGAAAAAAACACTAGGAGAGCCAGTTTTCAGGGTGGTAAATACTCTCTACTACTCTTTTGTCTTGCTATGAACGAGGACCATGATGCTTTTCAAAGAACTCAAAGCTAATTACTATTATCATCATCTGTAAACAGACATTTCTGACACTCCCTTCCTGGTCCAAGGCATTTCCTGTGACTAGCAATTCTACTCCTAGACTTACATCCTAATGAAACTTTTGCACATGTACACAGAGAAATGCACACACAAAGGTTCCTAACAGTATTGTTTATAATACTAAGAGCCGGGTGCAGTGGCTCATGCCTGTAATCCCAGCACTTTGGGAGGCCGAGGTGGATGGATCACCTGAGGTCAGGAGTTTGAGACCAGCCTGGCCAACATGGTGAAACCCCATCTCTATTAAAAATACAAAACATTAGCTGGGTGTTGTGGCAGGCACCTGTAATCCCAGCTACTTGTGAGGCTGAAGCAGGAGAATCACTTGAATGTGGGAGGTGGAGGTTGCAGTGAGCCGAGATCGCACCATTGCACTCCAGCCTGGGCAACAAGACTGAAACTACATTTCCAATAAAAAAGTTAAGAAACTGGGCATAGCTACTAGCCAACAACAGCAGGCGGATACATAAATTGTGTGGTACATTAATATAATGGAACATTATATCACAGTAATAGAACTATTGCTACTGCTATCAACATTAAAAACAGAATGCTTAATAAACAGTCAAAGAAAAATACATTTAAAGGAGAACAGGCAAAAACCAAAATCACATTATCTTAACAGTACATTCCTAAGTATTAAAAACTATGACTGAACAGGGAATAATGTCAAATTCCAGAACAAGGTTACCCTCTAAGAAAAATGAAGGGGAACGGTAGCACCTGAGGCCTTTGAGGGATCAATAACACTAATTTTCACCTAGGTGGTGGGTGTATGTATTTGTTAGCCCTTTTTTTTTTTTTTTTTTTAATTTGAGACAGAGTCTCACCCTGTCCC